>NW_021159995.1:0-276109 GCF_000001405.40 Homo sapiens
GAATTCCTGTCAAACAACCTTGTATCAGCCCACTCCTGGTTTCCTTTTGCCTGTAAAAACCAGCTTGTAACAAAGGCTGAATGGAGAACTCCCCCAGGCAACATGGAAATGTGTCCTTTCTGGGCAGCTGTTCTCATTTTGGCTGATGTAAACACTTTAAAATTATATTTTCTGCCTCAACTTCTTCCATTAGGTCAACATTTCTAGTAGGAATAGATATGATTACTTCATGTTATATAATTCAGGAAAACACTTTAGTTACAAGATCACTAATTTATTATAAACACATGAAACTGAGGGACAGTCAGAAGCAAGTGATGCATAGGGCAAAAAACTGAAAGAAGAGGCAAAGAGCTTCCACATATTATCCAAGAACAGTGTTCTCCCGGCACCTTCATAAGTTCACCAACCCAGAATCACTCTGAACCCTGTCCTTTTGGCTTTTTATGGAGACTTTATTATATAGTGGTGATTGATTAAATTATTGGACATTGGGGATTAACACAACCTCTAGCTCCTTGTCCTTCTCTCTTCCCTGGAGGTCAGAGGCTGGGCCTGAAATTCCAACCCTCTGATCATATGGCTGGTTCCCCTGGCAATGAGTCCTCATCCTGAGGCTATCCAGAAACGCACATTCATTAGCATTCACAAAGATGCTTATCACAAGAGTTTTAGGAGTTGTGTGCCAGGAAACTGTACAAAGACCAAATATACTTTTTTTATGATTAATCACAATATGACACTATCTTTCTCTTGCAATTAACTCCATGAATGTATAAAATGTTAAATATTGAGAAATTTAAGAACATTATTTTAGAAAATTTAAAGAAGAGAATGATGACAATTGATGAAAGAGATAAAAAGACATCAGAAACAAGTATCCTCAACCATCTATACTATCATTAATATATGTATTTATATACACTTCTATTTTCTTATTTTAAGAAACCTTAATAGATGATCTGCTTTTCTCCTTTTTAATCCTATAGGTCCTCAATGTTTTGGCTTGTATTAATAGTGTATTAATGGCAGAAGGTACTTAGTAAAAGAATGCTGAATATTGTTAGAATTCTAGACCAAGAAACCTATAGTCAGTTCTAGTGAATAAACCAAGAAATATATTTAAATATATAATACATTCCAGCCCTGGGTGGGTGGGTGGGAAGTGGAGAGCAGGAGTTGATATGAGTTAAACCATAACATATTGTTAACAAACTTACAGAAGATAGTGCCAAGCATAGTGGGGGAGTTTGCCTGTTAAGACAAATAATAAAAATAACTCTTTATCTGTACTAGATAAGCATAAATAAAAATGATGCAAATGCACGAAATAAAAGTATTTCACCCAAAATATACCTCTTTAACATTTTGAGATGAGTGTTCAGAGAGCCAGCAAACAGAAGTACCCCTGCAAAGCTGTCTTTTGTGGGGGAGATTTGCATCTATAGAGAAAATCTGCATTGATGCAGTCAGGCTTTCTCCCAGGCCTTTCCTTGTCTGCATCTAGGAAAGATTAACTGAGAGTCTGACAACTTTAAAGGTCTGAAAGAAATGCTTACCCTCTATTCTCTCTGAGAGCTGTTACCTGTGAGATTTTATCTACACAACAGGCCACCTTTCCTTGTCAAGCCTATTCCTTTCCCCCTCCTGTTTTGTCACTGCAAAACAAAAAGTATCTGAGACAGCTCTCAATCAATTTATAGGTTTATTTTGCCAAGGTTAAGGATCATGGCCTATGACACAGGCTCAGAAGATCCTAAGACTATGTGCCTAAGATGGTTGGGTTGCAGCTTGGTTTTATACATTTTAGAGAGAAAGAAGCTAAGGCAAAAATATAAATTAGTACATGTAAGGTATACATTGGTTAGGACCAGAAAATGGAATATCTTGGAACAGGGGGCTTCCTTGTTATAGGTAAATTCAAAGATTTGCTGATTGGCAATTGGTTGAAAGAGTTAAGCTCTGCATGAAGAGTTAAAGTCAGCTTGAGTTAATATAAGAGGGGCTATGGAAGCCATGGCTCTTGTGATGTAGATGGAGCCTTCAGGTAGCAAGTTTCAGAGAGAATAGATGGTAAATGTCTGTTATTGGGCCTTAAAAGCGTCAGTCTCTCCAGAAAAGATCTAGTAAGTGAGAACATCAGAGGAATCCAAATGCCTAGGCAGATAGGGGAGGGTCCATGGTGAAATCCCACCTTCAAGCCAAAAACAGCCTGAAGGCTAAAAGTCCAGACTGCTGGTACCAGATGAAATCCACTACCCACAGTGAAAACTTCTGTTCCTGTTTGCCTGCCCTTTCTTAATTGATTCTTTCTCAATAATGCCTTTTAACCAATCAAATGTTGCCTTTGTCAATACTACCTATGGCCTGCCCCTCCCCTATTCTGAGCCCTGGACCCAGCTACGTGAGGAGGAGAGAACCACCCAACTGCAGGGGCCCACACCCTGCATCCCCCTCTCCACTGAGATCTTATTGTCTGCTCTCCTTACTCTTCAATGTCCAGTATATTCTTATCCTTCTTGGGCATAGCACAAGAGCTCAGGAACTGCTGAACGTGGGTACAAGATATAAGACAGGCAAGTGAGGGCATGCCAGTGTGGCTGAGTGGGACCTCGGCAGGGCATCACCAACTGGAGATCCCCAGCTTGCAAAGTCACCGAAAAGAAAATCTTGCATCATTTTGCCGGCTCCTGTGGGATACCTGAAGGGTGAGCGAATGCAGACCTAAAATCTTCACTTATTTCCGAGGCTTCTTGTCCTCAGACATTTTTCTGAAGGCAGATGAAGCACTGGACCTCTGATTAGCTAGTTAAGAGCAATGGCACAGCTACAGTCCTTTGGACCCCACCTCCCCATCTCTCTCGGGGGCTGGGAATGTCGACCTCCTTCCAATCCAGTTTTTTCTATGGCATTTTTTCTTCCTTTTTTTCAGGGCTGTCATGGCCCTTATCCCTTCTTTTACAATGTTAGGAGTGTTGTTGCCAACTACAGAGATATTACTGGGTGAAATGAACATTCATCCCAGCCATCAGATATGCAATTCAGAACAATGTGGTTTCTGTCTATTCTTAGAGGCAAAGAGGAAGCAGAGATTAAAAGTTTCTCTCTCAGTTGGAGGAACCCAGTTGCATAGAGCAAGAGGCTTTTTCTTTCAGGCACCTTCACCACCCTGCACTTAAGCTGGCTTTTTATTGTCTTTTCTCCACCATGTCAAGAGTTAACACTGCCCTATGAATACAGGGAGCTTTTCTATGCAAAAGGTGTTTTCTGTTTGTTTGTTAATTTTTATTGATTTCTATTTATTTATTTACTTATTTAACCTTTTGAAAGGCATATTACTAGGCCAGGACCCCAATTCTCCCTTCCCCTTGTTTGAGGAGGATCCAGTTCCACAGCTTTACCTTAGCATTGGACTTAATGATAAGGAAGAAGTGAAGGAGCAGCCCCGCCAGCTGCTGGCTGCAGTCTGGTGAGGGACACCTGACATTTAATTTAATGAGTCCATAAACCCTCCTGAAGCACCTTCTTGCCCCAAACTTAATTCCAAGCTTCAGGTTGAAGTCCTAGAAAGGGAAACTAGATCTGAGGGATCCAAAGGCAGGCACAATGGAAGTCAAGGGGCACTGCACAGGTGAGCATGACTAATTTCTGCTGATTAGTCCCCCTGCCCTGACATTTTATGAGTAGATGTCATGCTAGCATCCATGGCATAGATGAGGTTACTGACAGCAGGGAGCATAGGCCAGCACATAGGTGTGTGTGAATATTTTCTACCCTCTATGCCTCCCCATTAACATGGGTGAAACCCAAGCCAGATTGTCACCCATGGGCTGTACCTTGCTGAGGTTGCTGGGACCTGGGCCTATAAAGACAGAAAAAAGAAAGGGATTGCCTTATCTTTTTCTTCCTCATGTACCTCGGGTATTTACTGGGAGGAAAAAAGAACTAGGAGATGGCTTTTTCCCCTCTTTCTGGATGGGTAATTGGCCATCTTCTATCTGTACTTCTCTTGCATATATCCTGAATCACTGGAACCCTTTGGAAATCAAATCAAAACAAAACAAAACAAAACAAAAACACCTACTTTTTTATTTTCCTCCTATGTCTTATCTTCGTAGATGGATAATTGTGTCCCAGTACCACAGGACACTACCCTCAGAAGCATCCCTCAAACTGGGAAATTTAATTTTCCCACACCTTAAACTCTGGCTTAAAATGTACTGGGAAGAAATTACAGATCTAACTGAGAAAATTTCTTGAGGGCAGACAACTTTTACAGTATGAAAAAAACCTCTTTCTCTGCTTCCTTTTCACAGGACTCCAGGGTAGATAAGACTCCATATCTCGGGACAAGGGAACCCAGAAGCCTGACATGCTGGAAAAGGTTAAAAGTTTTTTGTTGTTGTTGTTTTGTTTTGTTTTTGTTTTTGTTTTACCAGACTTCTGAACTCTCTCTCTCCCTATGCAAACTAGTAAAAGGAATGGTAATGATGACTATTTATATCCTCTCTAAAGTTTCGATTAATGGAATAAAGGATTTGTGAGGCTAGTCTTAAGCTGTAGTGGATCTGTTGTACTTTTTGCTAATATTTGTCTTTCTGTATCTTTCTATCAAAAAGATCATTCCCTCAGGATAGAATGTGGGCTTAGGACCCCATAAGCCCACTGTTCAAGCCAGATCAGCAAACCGTCAGTAACAAACTTTGCTACAAATCTCCATCTTGTTTTACATTCTTGGGAGTTTGACCTTGTAACCATGTGGCAATACTTTCTTTTGGTTTCTGCCATTTTACAATGATGGCCCAGGTTCAATCCTGGCTTAGGGAATGAGTACATCCTGGTTAATATCTGTGTGACTTTTGCCATTTGCTCATTCTCTTCCCCTCCGTGAACAACTTCTAGATTCCTTTCTTAAATCTTCCTTTCTCTGGGCTACATTTAAAGTTTCTAGATTTTGTAAAAACTGCTTACCACCTCTTTGAAAATAGCTTGTACACTGGCAGTTAAGTAATAACCTTAGTTGAGGTTTGTTGATTTCACCTGTGAGGTTACTTTTGGTGATTTTCAAAAGCCAGAAATATGGCTGTTTGGTGTGGTTGAAGTCGGGTAATAAGGGATTTATGCGGATTTTTTTTTCTTTTAAAGAGCACTATGGTTAAAAGTCAGCTTAATTAAAAGTGGATATACAAGCTATAGGTATATTCAAAAGACCCTTATGTTTTTTCTTCTCAGGACTTGTTTTTCTGGAAAAGGATATTTTCTCAGTTGACTGAATTATTTTTTTCCATTTTGTCTTGCCATTCTTTTTGCACACATGAGAGGCCCAAGATAACTTCTGATAGCCTGAGACTTCTTGGGAAAAACTTTACCAAGAGGACACCAGTTATCCCATTTTGGGCAAAAAAAAAAAAACTGTTTTCCTCATGGAACCCCAGGAATTGAAAGCAGATAAGATTCCTCTCAAAATCTGTTTGTCTTCCAGCTAAGTCTGTTGGGCCCTCAAAGCTGCATGCTTTCCTAGTCCTGCTTTTTGAAGGACTCCACCCAGAGGCCAATAATCCAATTAGGAGGTTGGCAAATGAAAAATCTTATAACTACTGGATCTTCTTCTCTCTGTCTGTGTAATCATACATGTGTTATGTGTGTAATGTTTGTATAAAAAAGAGCTCTAATTAATTGGCTTAAAGAAAATAAGTGCTTAGATCAAATATTTTTGAAGGAAAAATAAAAGCGGTAATGTCTTTTCGTTCATGTGACGTTAATCTTTGAAAGATAAAAACAGTTTTAGATATGATTCATAAAGCAAAATGTCATCAGAATGTAAATATGTGGTCTAAATTATGCAGGTGAGATACTGGGTTTGCTAAATGTTTTAAGGTTATAAACTGCTTCTTCAGCTTTTGAGAACTGACTCACCTGCTTTACAATTTGTAAGGCCTGGGAACATATGGAATTAACCACACCCCTAAATATGCTGGAAATAGTCGGGCTTTATCTGTGCTTAGTACGTAATTAAGATAACTTATCAGTTTTACATTAAAATTAAAAATTGCTAAGAGTTTTGAGACTACTGAAAATAGCTTTACATGCAAGGTGTGTAAGAAAAGTAAAATGTGTTTTTAGTAAAATATTATAAGGAGATATGGAAATGGGAATGTAAATTTTTGCCTAATTTAGAGGTTTAGAGGGTTGTTTTAAATTAGATAAGATAAAGCTAAAGATTTAAATAAGTTGTGGAAGGTTTGTAAAAATTAATCTTGCAAAAGAAATTCTGTGTGTGAACATTTTGACTCAATTATAATAGGTATTATATAGTTTTTCCATAAATTGAGTGTTGAAATGAAAGAACAACAAGGTTTTTTAAGACACTGATCTGCTCTTTAACAGAAGTTATAAAGGGTTATAAAATGTTTATAAGAATCTCACCTCATAGTCAAACTAGTTAAGTTTGGATAGAATTATCTTAGGTTTCATTAAAAAAAATTGGGGTTGACATTAATAGTTAGACAAATGCAAGGGTGAAATTTGGCTTTCTCTCCACTGAACAAGATTTTGATGTAATAGTGAAAAATAATGACAGTTTTTGTTTGCCTTGTGAATAAACTGCCGAAAAAGGGAAGGGAGAAATAGGAGACAGATTGTTTGGAAAGCTAAGTCTTCCTATTAATGAGTAAAACGTTTTTGCCTTTTAAAAAATTTTTGAGTCACCATTTTGGCTAAACAAATTACTTTATGGTAATTTGAAATTCCAATTCATAATATCAGTGTTTTAACCTCTTACATATTTAATAAACTTCCTAAAATCAAACTTATTTTCAAGGTTGTTTTTTCTGACCCCTAACTTTTGAATGCTATAGAGGGCCCCTGGAGCATCCAAACAAGAGGTAAACAGGATTATTTGGCATGGGATTGCCAATATAAAAAGAATGTTTAATCTTCTTTAGGTTATATTTTGGTGAATAATATTAATACATGTTCCAATATTGTTATGGGATTTTAAAAATTCTACTGTCTGAGAATATGCTATCAACTATGATTAAGGTTATTATGTTAAGTTATTGTAAACCACAGAAATAACCAAATTTATTTGTCCATTTTGTTTTTAACTGTAACTACCCTGGACATTTTGACATTCACAGACAATTGTTGTCTTGTTTTGTTCCTCTTCAAAAGATGGTTTATAATCACCTATAGAACTTTGCCAGGTGCTCTTAAATGCAGGTTTCTGATAGCCTTGAAAACTGTGACATTGGAATAGAGAAATAACATACAGGACTCATGAAGAGCTAAAATGTTTATGAATATCAAGCAGAACAAAAGTTAACTGAATGGACTGAACTGACAGAAAACTGAAGTAATCTTTTTAACTTTTTGCTGAAAACATTGCTGATCCTTGTTTTGCTTTTCAGAGTCAAAGAAACTTTTCTTTTTAGTTATCTACAGCTTTTAACAATTGAGCCAGGTAACCATTTGTGAATAAAATTTGTAGCCTATTTGTTTCTCTCTGCCTGGTTTCTCCAGAATTTGGAAACTACTGTTGAGTATTCTTAATTTATGGTGATATAGTCATTTGCATAAGTGCAATAAGAATCCATTTTCTTTTGTGACAGGACACGATTGGAGAAACTGGTTGTTTTTACCAAGGCTTTAACTGGAAGGGTATGCTTCCCTTTAAGGAATCAAGGTTGACTTGCAGAGCCAATAAAAGCCCCTTGGGAATATTCACCTCATATCTTGTCTACACAGTCTCCTTATAGGTTTCCTAACCTGTGGTGAGTAAAGTATGTCAATTTCTAACAGCCCCAGGAGCCCCATGTTATCTTGGGACCTCCAGAAGTGTGGAATTTACCCAACTCACAGATGTTTGAGGGTAAAAACCCATGACTGCATTTGTTTTTAAAAAGTCTTATGTGAGATTCCTTATAGAACAGAGTTTCATCAAAGCCAATTTAAAAAGCCTATGTAAAAAATAATTATTCTTGCTGCACTTTATGGAAATTATCAAGCCAAGGATAAGAAAAAAGTTTATTATGCAAACAACTGAGTCCTATCATAATTTGTATTTACAAAAATGAACACTGGAGAGAGAAAAAATATATTTCAAAACTTATACACTTGTCATTAAATTTCCATCTCATTAGTTGTTTTTAAGTTTTTGCCTACATTTTAAACTAACTGTGCTTATTCCTGTGAACCAAACTGTAATCTCTGGCTGCAGCTCAGAAAAAAACAAAAGGGATGGGCCATCAAAGTGCAAATGATAATGCAACCAGAGCTTTGGACGATGGCTCTTTTTTACTGGGGACCTTTACACAGGCCTCTGAGGAAGATCTGACTGACATTTTCCCAAAACAGTGCCCCTTATTGGCAAGAAGCAGTTAAGATTTGTCTTTGTCCTTGTTCTAATGGCAATTTTATGTACCTCTTCAGAAGGGGGAAATGAGATTGGCAGGAGGCAGCCAAATGCCTATGCAGATAGGGGCAGGTCCCCAGTGAAGCCTCACCTTCAAGCCAAAACAGGCTAAATGCTGAAAGTTTGGACTTCTGGTCCAGGATCAAACCTATGACCCAGAGTGAGAACTTCTGTTTCTGTTTACCTGCCTTTTTCCAATTGATTATTTCTGAATAATGCATTTTAACTAATGGAATATTGCCTTTTCCCATACTACTCATGGCCTGCCCCTCTCCTATTCTGAGCTCATAAGAAGCCCTACACCCAGCCATGCTGGGAGGAGAGAACCACCCAACTGTGGGGTTGGAGGACCATGCCCCTGTGTCCCTTCTGTGTTGAGATCTGTTCCGTCACTCAACAAAATTCTCTGCCCTTCTCATATTTCAGTTTCCAGCTTATTCTCATTCTTCTTGGATGTGGTACAAGAGTTCAGGAACTACTGTACATGGATTCAAGCTACAACACAGGTGAGTTGGGGTACGCCAGCATGGCCAAGGGGGTCCCAGGTGAGGTTTTGCCAGCCACAGGTCCCCAGCTTGCAAAGTGACCAAGAAGAAAATCCTTCATTGTAAGGGAAGAAGAATATAATGCAAATTTTCCCCACAAGAGACAGCTTTGCAGGTCTATTTCAAAACATGTCAAATAAATATATTTGGGGGTAAAATACTTTGATTTAGTTCAAGGCCTGCTTTCTGGCATGTGATGCTATACCAGAGTCAGGTTGAAATTTGGTGTCTTATTGTCACAAAGAATCTGTTTTGTCTGTCTTTAGATCTTTGTTTTCGTGTTAATTCTGGTCAGAAGTGTCTAAACTCCAAAGGGAAGAGGGTATAATGAGGCATTTCTGACCCCTCCCTTCCCATCTTAGCCTAAACTACTTTTTCAGGTTTCTTTGAGATTCTAGATGCTATACCTTTCAGCTGTGTCTGCTTTTCACATATTTAAATATTAAGCCCTAAAAACTGCAAATGCTTTGCTGGCCCAGCTCCTTAATGGGCTCAATCCTGAGCTCAACAGTCCAGTTGGAAAATAGACTAAAATAAAAAGCCATCGTGTAAATAAAATTGGTCTTCTTTTAGAAGCCTATGGCAAATTTTTATAATTTTTTGCTACCTTGACATCCATTTTTAATCTTTCCCTAGCTATACACACAAACTCCTTCTTGAAAAAGCTTAAATTCTCTCTCTCTCTCTCTGGGCTTTGAAATGTAAATTTGCTACCCTGTTTTCTCTAAAACTCAGTGAGGGCTTCAGCCATGTGGGACAGATAAACCTTAACCTTTTCCATTTACAAAGGCACAGTTCAAATCCAATTGTCCTTTTAAACTTGTGAGTTTTAGAGGTCTCATGGCTAAAATTTTAAAATCAAGCCGTAGTCTTTCTATTTGTCTGCATTTTTATGTATATGTGCTTACCTGTCTCTGTAAATTCTCCTTATGGTACCAAATTGACTTATAAATAAATGAGTTCTCATAAATTAAGTAAATAATCCCAAATGCTTTTCAAATTCACATTGCTTTAGTAATCTCATGGTATATGAGATAAGTTTAATGTTGTTGGTTTAATAAAAATAACTATGTCTTTTGAGTTATCAGCAATACATGCATGTGTTTAACTTTAAGGTCCTTCCTTTTATAATACTTGCCTGACATACAGTAATATAAAAATAGTAAACAAAAAATTTAACTTGAGATGATGGCTGGATTTCTCTAATGTTTCATGACACTTTTAAAACATAATTGTTAAGAATAAATAGACGTAAATGGAATAAATGTTTATCAATTAACTTTTAATAATACTTATGTGTTATAATATGTTTACTTATAAAGATTTCTCAAATTTTTTGGCAACTGTACTTTTAGATTTTTGCTAAGCAAGGTGATATTATATACATTCATTGAATATCTAAATTATTTCCAAATAAGATATAGTGCCAAGACATTAATTACTATAATAAATATAAGTTTAAGCTCATATATTTTGGCTTATTTCAGAGAAACAAGAAAGTTATTTAGATCTATTAGTAAATATGACCTGTTTCCCATTTTTAAAATGTTCTTTTGGAAAGCCCGTATTTCTAAAAGTTATAAAATATGTAATCATACACTGTTAGTGTGTGGCTACCAATTAAAAATTGATAGCTTCCAAGGATTTTTTTTACTGATATTAAGACTTTCTAAGAGTTAGCATTGTAATCAATATTTGTAATAAAAACTACTCAATAGAAGAAAAATACATCTGTATGCAAATTCTAAAAAAAGTGCTTTTGATAAAAAAGACAGTAAAACATGAAAATGTGTTTTTTATTAAAGAAAAATCACTTTTTTCTAGTTAGGAAGTTACTTAAAGGTTGCTTTAATATAAATGAAATAACAAATAAAATTCAATGGGTATAAAATGTTGGGAAAAGAAAGACAATGAAAATATTGTAAGAGGTTATAAAAGGTTTATAAAAATCTTATTTTTTGTGGTCAAAGCTGATTGAGATTGGATAGACCTGTTTATAAGGTTTTCTTAAGATGTACTTTAGCATCAATAATACACTGATGTAAAGGTAGAATTTAGTTTATTTTTTGAATACTATTTTTATATAGTATTAATAAGAAATAGCAAAAGATTTTATTACCTTTTAAGTAAACTGCAGACAATTAATAGGAGAGATTTTGTTCCATGCTGTCTTCAGTAGGTGTTCTGATTATTTTGAAAATTGAGTCTCTTCGCTATTGAAGAGTAAAGGTTTTTGCTTTTTGAACTCTTCAAATTATTTCTTTGGCTAAATAAATATTTTACAGTGACCTGTAATTCTATTTTGATCAAGTGTTTTAAATACTTGATATTTGACAAACTTTCCAAAATCAGTTTTAAAATTCTAAATTAAGTTTTTGACCTCAAATTTAACTTTTGGACTCTGGTATATAAAAGTCATATGGAAAACTATGTTAAATAAGAAAGTAAGAAATGATGTTTGACTTTTTATAGTTATATTTGTGTAAATGTGTTATTACTATGTCTTCCAAAATTGTATGAGGTTCTCAAAATTCATATACATATTGGTATATGTTATCAGTCATAATTATAATTATTATGTGAAATTATTGTATGCCATACAAATAACTTAATTTCCTCGTCAATTGTGTCTTTCGCCAAGGTTATTCTAAGTCTTGTCGACATACAACTATTGCTTTACTTTGATTCTTCTCACAAAGTGGTTTATAATTATCCATAATCCAAAATTTGTATCTTCTTCAAGGAAATTCATGGAAAAGACCCTGATAATTATTCCTGAGTACAGATTTTTGATAACTTTAGAGACCATACTATTGGACTAGGTAGAAGCTTTCAAAACTAATTAAAAAGCTGATGTGTTTATGAAAATTGCTAACTACATCAAGTAAAACTATAGTTAATTACATGAAATTGAACTGGTAGAGATCTAAAATGATTTTTATGACTCTTTTTGCTTGAAACATTGATGATTCTCTCTATCTTTTGTTTTCCAGAGTCAAGAAACTTATTATATTTGAGCTATTAATAGTTACAGCAATTTGGACAAAGTATGCTCTTGTGAGCAAAACTGAAATATTTACCTTTCTCTCTCTACCTGAATTCTCCAGAATGCAGAAACTATCAGGGATTATCTTTATTTTATGGCAATATAGTTATCTGTATAAGTTCAATAAGAATATGTTTTCTTTTCTAATAGAACACAATTGAAAATGCTGGTTATTTTACCAAGGCTTTGACCTGAATGACATATTTTCAGATATGAACAAATTGCTTTGAGAAATTGAATTTGACTTACAGAGCTGATAAAAGTTTCCTTTAAAAGACTGGCCTGGCACCTTGTCTACATGGTTTCCTTACAAGATTCCTGACCTTGTGGTGTGTAAAGAATGTCACTTGTTAACACTCCCAAGATCTGCAAGATATTTTAGAAACTTAAGATTTTTTTGTGACCTCGAGATAAATGGAATTCACCCAGTTTGAATAGGTATCACAGGCACAATCTAGTGGCAAAAATTTCTCTTGGATTTTTGGCCTTGAGGGGCTTTTAAAAGTCTAATCTGGTATTTCTTATGAAAAAGTTCTAGAAAAGCCGGTTGAAAACAGTCTATATGTTCAATTACTATTTTTGATGTACTTTATTAAAAAAAATCAGACCAAGTATAATAAAACTAAAGCTTATTTCAAAAATAAATTGGTATTAATATGTGGTGAAAAAATGGGACTGGAGGGAGAAATATTATGTTTTGGAAAAAAAAAACAACTAAATTACACCTATTATTAGATTATAGTCCTAATCATTGTTTTTGAGTTGTATTCTTTGCCTATAATTTGGGCTGAATTCTTTCCTGGGTACAAATGTCCAAACTAATGTGTTCAAAATTTCCTCCCAGTTTTCTCACATGAAATCACTAGAAATTAAAACTTTGATTTTTCTGAAGCCCTGCAAACTAAAGCTAGACAACTTAATATAAACTTAGCAGAGATCACTATAACAGCTTATATATAAACAGCCTTCATGCCTGTTGATGTGTGAACTACTCAAGAAGTTTATTTGAACATCTGATTCAAACTACAGTTCAAGAAAAATCTTTCAAATTACCACTGCAATCTGAAGAGATTTCAGAAACTCTACAAAAACTAGTTTATATACTAGTCCAAACATTAACTTTCAGTTTCCTTCTGTTTCCATAGAATTGCTTCTTATAAAACATCTGTTTGCCTGCATGATATATAAAGGGCTAGCCCATCTACAATGTCACCTCCTGGATGGGACACAGCTGTTCAGCCAAACTGATGTATTCTCAGCACTAGGAGACTGATTCAAGCAGATATGAGATAATACACTTAAATTTGTTCTTGTCTTCTATTCCATTTTTTTCCCTTCTTACGCCTAGGTTTTTTTTTTTTTTTTTTTTTCTAAGAACCTCTAATCCAAATCTTTCCACAGTAATGAATCAAGTCTTTTATGTGTGAAACTTCTAGGAAAATTTCAGATAGGGTGAATAAAGTAGTGCCGGGAACTTTAGCCTCAAATATGGCTCCATGGTATGAGTATTTGAAATTAAAAGCACTTGGAGATCAACAGACTTTGGCAGAATCTTTTCCCCTATCTACATAAAGACCAGAGGAACTCACCAAGGAAGACACTTGTTTTTTTCTTCCTTTCCCTTTTATTTCATTATCTATTGCACAAAAGAAGGC
Organism: Homo sapiens; assembly: GCF_000001405.40. NCBI lineage: Eukaryota > Metazoa > Chordata > Mammalia > Primates > Hominidae > Homo > Homo sapiens. Next base: position 13,660 of record NW_021159995.1, read on the forward strand.
AGGAATAGAATGACACCTGGACAGATCTTTTCACAAGATAATGTCCGTTTCAAACTCATTCAATTTCTAAAGAGAACAATTTACAAGTTAAACTCCATTTCTAGATGCTTTCATTCTCTCTGGTAATAATTTATTTCCTCTCCACAGAATTACCTATGTTCTGCATTCCTTCCCTCCCCTCTGAAATAAGAATATATAATTTGGGACCCATTGGGATATTGACTAATTACTCTATGAATCTCTCTCATGTACACATTAATAAATTTGTATGCCATTCTTCATTTTAAACTACCTTTGACAGTTGATTTTTCAATGAACTTTATGAGGATAAAGGAGTTTTTTCCCTTGGCCCCTACATGAGCAAAATGAATTTATCAAAGTAATTAAAAAAAACACAGAAATCAAAGAATACAACAGTACGGTGATTATATTAACTTTCACTTTAAGACAACTTCTATACACAATAGTATTTGTACTATTCATTCTGTTAACTTTATTATTCATCTTTTTAAAGCAATTATTGATGTTAAAATTGGTGGGATGAAATAATTGATGTTAAAATTGGTGGGATGAAATAACAAGAAAATGTCTATTTTTTTTTTTTCTGAAGCCCAAAGAGACCTGGTAATGAGAGGCAATGCCATATTTCTCAGGTTACTGAAAAAATAAAATTGAGCCATATGCTTGTGCTTTTGTTATGAGTTATATTTATGAGATATGCATAGTGAAATTTTTCAAACTATTAGAAAACACTTGCTTATTATCCATTTAATGTTTTCTATGCTCCTGTCTCCCATTAGAGAAGATTCAAAAATGCAAGAAAAAACTAGCAGAGTGACAATATATTTTATAGACAAAAATCTTCAAAAGGAAAGAAAAAATATTGAGGGAAACTCAATCCATGACAACCATGCCAAGATAATCACATTTCAACAACCATTATTAAAATACTTTATGTCAGAATTATTCTGCTTTTTAACAGTTGATTACACTGAGCCTAGCTTACAGGGTTACTTGACTTTATTACACACAAGGTTTTTTATAATGATTGTTTCATTGTCAGATCATTGTTATTTCTGGATAGAATAAGTTTTCTGCTATGGAAGTGATTTGGTGGCCTACAATTATAAACCTGCCTCAACTGATTTTGTTAGCAGTGATGAATCCGTATGGGTCTGTAGCAACTTGAGTCTTGCCTCCTTGGACAAAATAATTCAGCTGAAGGGTATAAGGCAGAGTGAGAGACCAAGGCAGATTTTGGAGCAGGAATGAAAGCTTATCAAAAAGTTTTAGAGCAGGAAAAGGAAGTAAAGTACACTTGGAAGAGGGCCAAGAGGGCTACTTGAGAGATCCAACTGCTCCATACGAACTTTGACTTGGAGTTTGTACATTGGTATGATCCCGGGGTTTGTGTTTCTCCTCCCTTGATTTTTTCTTAGGGCAGGCTGTCCACATGCACAGTGGCCTGCCAGCACTTGGGAGGGACCGCATGTGCAGTGTGTTTACTAAAATCGTGTTCATGCTCATTTGAGGCGCTTTTCCCTTACCAATCAGTTGTTCCTAGAGGAAGGTCAAATATCAGTTAAACTCTGCCATTTTGCCTCTCAGTGTACATGCTTGAGCCTACTCGCCGAACTTCTGAGATCTTATTGGGAAGCTGCTGATCACCGGCTTAAGGTGTATTGTTTCTATTGGGAGACTGCCTTTCCCTGGCACCACCTGTGACCAATGATTATCTTAGTTTAACAACCACCTGTCACCTGGGGTAGGGGACATTCCTAGGGTAGTGGACCTTCTCCTGCCCTGCTCATGTTTGTCTAGCTACCTACTGTAAAAATTTCACATTTCCAATGAAGTATTTCAGTCATGTCTTCTTCTTGTTGCTTCCAGAAAAAGAAATAACTTTAAATAATTTAGAAATCCCATCTTCAAATTATGCTTTTCTCAAGATTTGCTACCTTTATTTGCTTTATTTCAGCTTAGCAGTCATGCGTTAATCTAAGTTTACCAACCATGCTGTTTTTCTTGAGACTGAGGAAATTTCCTGGACAGAGTTCTTTCAGTGCTAAAATTAGGAAACTCCTAGGCAAAAACAAGGATGACTGGTCACTCTATCCTTACCCTTTATCTAAATAGATCATGGTTATCAATCACTTTCTATCTCTAATCTTTAGATACATTAATTAGCTTCTTTTAGCTAAAACTTTGAGATTTAGTTGTTACGTATAAAATGAAAATTAATAATTTTACCCTCCTAAAGTTGTTGAAGGAAATAAAAATAATTCAGTAGACTCTAGCACAGGTCTATACTCATAATAGATGGGCAATAAGTGATATTTCTCTGGATATTCTGCTCTATTCTTAAGAAATGGAAAACATTGCTAGATACATACAATACATGAGGAATCTTGGAAATGTTTATGAAAAATGCATAATATGTGAAAACTATGCATGGATTTTAATTTTTTTTGCAGCAAAATAAATTCATGTAAACTTGTTATAACATGTTTGAACATGATCTGCAAAACAGTATGGTTGGTAATCCTAGATGAGGACATGACTGATACATTGAAATAAAGCAAATCAAGGTGGTAAATCTTGAGAACAGCGTAATTTAATGATGAGATTTCTAAATTATTTGAAGTTACTTTTTTTTTTTTTTTTTTTTGCTAGAAGCAACACGAAAAATAAGACTTGATTCTGAAATACTTTACTATAAGTGTTAAACCTGTTAAGGCGGGTTTATAATTATAACCCACCAATTTTAAACCTCATATCCATTTGAGGTAATAAGAAAGATAAGACATCAGTTTGAAAAAAGCCCCATCAGAGTAACATGAATTCTGCTAAAATTAAAGAAAGAACAAACATCAAACTTATAGTGAAGCTTGAATGGAAGGAAAGTGAAATTATTGATGCTTTACAAAAATTTATGGACATAATGCCCCAAAGAAATCAGCAGTTTAAAAATGGGTAACTTGTTTTACAGGATAAAACAATGTTGAAAATGAAGTCAATAGCTGCAGACCATCCACACTAATTTGTGAGAAAAAAAATCATCTTGTTCATGCCTTAATTGAAGAGGACCAACAATTAACAGCTCAAATGATAGTAAACAATATAGACATCTTAATTGGTTCAGATTACACCACTTGACTAAAAATTACACTTGAGCAAACTTTATACTTGATGGGTGCCAAAACCATTGTGCCCAGTCAGCTGTAGACAACAGTAGAGCTTTCAGTGGAAATTTTGAACAAGTGGGATAACAATTATAAAGCATTTTTTCAAAGAATTGGAACAGGTGATAAAACATGGCTTTACCCAGACTATTTTGAAGGCAAAGCACAAGCAAAGAAATAATTACCAAGAGGTGAAATTGGTCCAGGTAAAGCAAAAACAGACCAGTCAAGAACAAAGGTCAAGGCAGCAGTTTTAAGGGATACGCAATGCATTTTGCTTATTGATTTTCCAGAAGGCCAAAGAATGATAACATCTGTTTATTATGAGAGTGTTTTGAGAAAGTCAGCCGTAGCTTTAGGAGAAAAGCACCCAGGAAAGCTTCGCCAAGAGCCCTTCTCCACCACGACAATGTTCCTGCTCACTCCTCTCTTCAAACAAGGTCAATTTTATGAGAATTTTCATGGGAAATCATTATATTTATACCTTAAAGTCCTGATTTGGCTCCTTCTGACTTCTTTTTGTTTCCTGATATTAAAAACAATCTCTAAAGGAAACCCATTTTTCTTTAGTTAATAATGTAATGAACCATTGACATGGTTAAATTCTCAAGACCTGCAATTCTTTTGAGATGGATGGATGAAATTAATGGTACTATCACCTACAAAAGTGTCTTGAACTTGATGAAACTTATAATGAGAAATAAATTTTACAATTTTACTATTTCTCCTTTAATTCAATTTTCCACAAATTTTTGAAGTCCTCCTGTGTAAATATCTTCCAAAATAAAAGCAAATAACATTAGAAAATTTGTGTAATAAAAGTAAAGTCAGTTCTCAGAAGAAATAATATAACATAAGCATATAAAGAAGTAGAATGACCCCAGAAATAAAAATAGATACATTCTTGAAAACAGATTTTATTTTAAATTAAGTGACCAAGAAAACTATAGCAATAAAAGTAATGTTCATGTATGGTATTGCTAAGAGTGTTAGAAATCAATATTCACATACTCTTTGTTGGAGATATAAATTTGCATTATCTTTATAAAGGCTGATAGACACTATATCAAAGTTTTCAGTAAACACATCATTTGACCAATAATTTCATTACTAGTACTCTCTCCTACAGCAGTGCTTGCATATATAGCCAAAGCTATGTAGTCAAAAATTTCCATTTCAGCACATCATTTAAAAGGAAAAAATTAGTAAGCAATCCAAGAGTTAAATATATTATGATGAGTCTATACTCATCTGCCATACTATGAAATATTACAAAACCTTTACAAACAATGATATAAATCTATGAGAAAAGTCTCTAATGTAGTATTTTTTAACAAAGGGAAGAAAAGGCCGGGCACAGTGGCTCACGCCTGTAATCCTAGCACTTTGGGAGGCCTAGGTGAGTGGATCACCTGCGGTCAGAAATTCAAGATCAGCCTGGCCAACATGGTGAAACCCTGTCTCCACTAAAAATACAAAAATTTGCCAGGAGTGGTGGCAGGCATGTGTAATCCCAGCTACTCAGGAGGCTGAGGCAGGAGAATTGCCTGAACCCAGGAGGCAGAGGTTGCAGTGAGCTGAGATCACGCCAGTTCATTCCAGCCTGGGTGAAACAGCGAAACTCCATCTCAAAAAAAATAAATAAATAAATAAAAAGGAAGAAAAATACTAAACATAAATAAGCATATTATGCCATTCACAAATAGAAAAATATTTCTTCTGAAAGATGATATGCATATGAAAGACACAGAAAGAAAGGAAGACAGCAACAGACTGACAGTTATCTAGAAATATGCACCATATCATTTAAAGTTAATTTGCATTGGAGAATGGAACTGTGAAACAGGAAAAATATTTAGCATTGTACAGTCAGGCAGGTGCCACATAACAACATTTAGGTCAATGATAGACCGTATATATGATGGTGGTCTGATATGATTATAGTGGAGCTGAAAAATTCCTATTGTCTATTGACAAAGTAGGCATCATAATGTCATAGCACAATGCATTACTGACGTGTTTGTGGTGATATTAAACAAGCCTATTTTATGTGAATTATTGATAATAATATTGTGTACTGTACACAATAATTGCTAATAAAGTAGAAATGAATATATTATTAACTTGAAGCTAGCTTATAGCAGGAAAAAGTATTAGCAAGTACAGTACACAATACCTGATAATAAATTACTGTTATTTGTGTATTTACTACACTTTTAATATTATTTTACAGTATACTCCTTTTAATTATAAATATAAAAAGTTAGCAATAAAATAGTCTCAGCAGATTCTTCAGGACTTACTCCAGAAGAATCATTGTTACAGGAGATGATAGCTTTATTTTATTGCCCCTGAAGACCTTCCACTGGGACAAGATGTGGAGGTGGAAGATGGTAATATTGATGATCTTGACCCTGTGTAGGAATAGGCTAATATGTGTATGTTTGTGTCCTAACTCTTAGCAAAAAAGTTTAAAAAGTAAAATTAAAAAAAAAAAATTTAAATAGAAAAAAGCTTACACAACAGGGAAGAAAAAATATTTTTTACATCTATACAATGTGTGTGCTTTAGGCTGTTATTACAAAATAGTGAAAAAATTTAAAAGTTCATAAAGTAAAAATGTTAAACTAAGCTTCATTCATTATTAAAGAAATAAAATATTTCAAATAAATTTAGTATAACCTAAGGGTACTTTTTTTTTTTTTTTTTTTGTCTCAGTTTGTCACCCAGGCTGAAGTGCAGTGCCGCGATCTCTTCTCACTGCAACCTCCACATCCTGGATTCAAGCTATTCTCCTGCCTCAGCCTCCCGAGTAGCTGAGACTACAGGTGCGTGCCACCATGCCCGGCTAATTTTTTTGTATTTTTAGTAGAGACAGATTTTCACCGTGTTAGCCAGGATGATGTCAATCTCCTGACCTTGTGATCTGCCCCCTCAGCCTCCCAAAGTGCTGGGATTACAGATGTGAGTCACCAAACCCTGCCCAAGGGTACATTGTTGGTAAGTCTACAGTACTGTATGCTAGTGTTCAAGGACTTCACCTTCAGTCACCACTCACTCACTGACTTACCCAGAGCAACTTTTAGTCCTGCAAGATCCATTCATGGTAAGTGTTCTATACAGGTGCACCATTTTTTAAATAGTTTATACTACATTTTTACTGTATCTTTTTATGTTTAGATATGTGTGGATACTCAAATATCACTGCTTTAAAATTGTATACAATAGTCGGTATAGTAACATGCTGTATAGGTTTGTCGCCTAAGAACAATAGGCTCCACCATATGGCTTGGGAGTGTAGTAGGCTACACCACGTAGGCTTGTGTAAGTACGTTCTGTGATGTTCACACAACAAAACCGCCTTTCAATGCATTTCTCAGAACATATCCCTTTTGGTAAGTGATACAGTACCATACTTAAATTCTTATATATTTGAATTTTTACCTTATGCATATATTACTACAGTATTTAAATAAATAAATGGTGTATTTTCCAATAAATGTTTTAAATACAATTTTCTAGAAATTTGTCAAAGTTGGGCCTCAAAAGGTGGTGAGAAAATGAAGAAATATCCATTTTGTTAATTAGTTTACATGAAGGTGGGTCATGTGACAGCCTGGATAGGTTGTCAATGTATATCTTAAATGTTTTACTCCACTGGTCTGCCATGAAGCCCTGCCTTGATATCTGGAAGGAATGATATTTTTCTTTAAAAAAAATAATAAAAACTAGAGCAGAAGTCCAAAGAATAGAAGTGTTTTAAACATTGGCATGAGCTTGAGAGGGTGAATATAGTGATGTGGACTAATGGAAAAGGGAAGAATGTTCAGGCAAAGTCAGTGGAGGGTCATTAAAGGTGAGCAAGACCTTCAGTTCCATGGGCATAAATCAGGTGACATGCCAGAGGGCAAAGTCAACAGTTTTTTTTTTTAAATACATTTTTTTTTCCTAGAGAAAAGCCAGTTATATTCATATTATTTCATAAATTCATTTAAAAAAATTATTTATTTTAACTTCTGTGAAAACAGACTGTATCTTTCAGTTAATGATGTCTTCAGTTGTGTCAGTCAGCCACAGGGAAGTTGCGTGAAAACTTATCCTTGACATCTCTTGTTAATATCAAGAAAAATCCTGCTTCAAAGAATCTTAGAATTAACTTATGAATTCAATGCTCCCAATGTTATTGAAACAGATATTTTAAGAGTGAAGTGCTCTGTCATTTTAAAACATGTAAATGGTAAATGGTACATTTTATGTTGAGGCTTTAACGTTTAAGGGAAACCTATCTGTGCTGAAACCTCTACATACATCATCTCATTTTACTTTAATCACATCCCCGTAAAACAGGTATTATTATCACAACTTTCTCAACAAGGAAATATGAGACTGAAAAGTAGGTGGTAAAGGTTAGAGTTGAACCAAAGTGACTTGTCTTCAAACACCAAGTTCTTAACTGTAAACTGTAAAAAATATTATTAATAAAATATGTTTTGAAAGAGCAGCAAGCAAACTATTCAATATTCAGCCCACTTTAATGTCAGCATCTGCCCTGAAGTGGGCACAGTGCTAGGTTATGGACCTATAAGAAAGAAGAAGACAAAATACTTGACTTAAAGATAGCAAATGGGTCATTTCCATTCATGGCAAAATAGGCTTGTGGATGGCCTACATAAGGAAAGAACTAGCGCTTAGCCTAACCAATAATAAGTTTCTGTTGTTAAGTTAATCTGTAAGAGTCTTCATAAAAATGCAATAAACATTTTGTGGTATACGCTTTTCTCACATGATGAAGTGGAATTATGAATGGGAATGAATACATTATCTATTAACTTGAAGCTAGCTTATAACAGAAAAAAGTATTATAAAGTTCAGATTGGTTTAGGAATTAATAAACTGCTCTGGCATCAAATCAAATGCCTTCAAGTGAATTAACTTGGTATCTTTCCCACATGCTTCCCATGTCTGTAATCTAAGACTTAGTTTTTGCATGTAACAGAGAATCTTACAATGAGCCCCTGGTGATAAGCTTTTATTAGAGAGGCATGTTCACGTTGTATATGTTATCTGAGATTTTTATATGGCTTTTCTTTATTATGAGTCTACAATTACTATGCAACTCTGAGATATAAAACCTAGTTTTATATTTGCAGAGTGATTTTGGCAATTATCTCATTCTACATGGAAAGGTAATATAAGGTAAAACACATTTACTCTGGCAATAGAATTGTTCCAGTGGATATTACAGTTATTTGTAAATGTCTGAGCAAATTTAAATTGTCCCTTTCAATTTATATACACATTGAAGAATTAAATCTGTTGATTCTTTTGTGACATATAACAGTAGTACAATGTCTCATAATTACGTTTTGGGCTAGGAACTACCAGGGAAAATTAAAGTGTAAATTGGCCTTAAATTTATAATATTCTGTATTTAATATATGTAACAAAGCCTCTCCTATATTCTTAATTTTTCAGTGGTAATCACACATATGTATTGTGTTCTTTTAAATTTTGAATTAAGCTATATTTTAACAAAACATAGAAACTTATTCTAGAGAAATCATATTTATAATTTAAAATGCTAAAATCTCCTTGGTAAGGTTTAAATGATTAATTTAATACTTTGACTACATACTACATAAAAATATTTTAAATAGCTAAGATAAATCTAAAACCAGAAATATTAAAGGCCAGATCAATTATTTCTGAGAGGAAATGTATTCATTTCTTAGCACTGCTGTGACAAATTACCACAAACTTGTTGGTTTAAAACAATGAAACATATCCTCTTTCAGCTGCAAAGGATAAAATTCTAAAATGAAGATGTTGGCAGGACCGTACTTCCTCTAGAAGCTCCAGAGGAGATACTTTTCCTGCTTTTTCCTGTTGCTGGTGGCTGGCTAATGGCATATTACTTAACTCTCTGCCCCTGTCCTCATATTGTCTTCTCATTTTTGTGTCTTATTCTCTTCTCTTTTCTTTCTTTCCTTTTCTTTCCTTCCTTCCTTCCTTCCTCTCTCTGTCTCTTTCTTTCTTTTTCTTTCTTTCTTTCTTTTTTCCTTCCTTCCTTCCTTCCTTTCTTCCTTCCTTCTTTTTTTCTCTCTCTCTCACTCTTTCTCTCTCTCTTTTTTTTTTGATGGAGTTTCACTCTTGTAACCCAGGCTGGAGTACATTGGCACCATCTTGGCTCACTGCAACCTCCGCCTCCTGAGTTCAAGCGATTCTTCTGCCTCAGCCTCCCAAGTAACTGGGATTACAGGCAACCACCACCATGCCCGGCTAATTTTTGTATTTTTAGTAGAGACGGGGTTTCACCATGTTGGCTAGGCTGCTTTCGAACTGCTGACCTCAGGTGATCCAGCTGCCTCGTCCTCCCCAAGTGCTGGGATTACAGGCATGAGCCACCACGCCCGGTCTCTTCTATTTCTGATAAGGACACTTGTCATTGGATTTAGGATTTAAGGCCCACCTAGACAATCTCCTCCTCTCAAGGTCATTTGCATAATCACATCTTGCCATACATAGAGTAGTATTAACTCTTTCTCCACAGAAGACAATATTCACTTGTTCCATGGATTAGAAAATTAATATTTATTGGGGAGGCATTTTTTTTCTGCTTACCACATTAAAGGATGCAAAATTGACTCCCATTTTCCTCATTTCTCTTCTGAATATTTTGCTCTAATCACTTATCCTCCTTTTTCACACAAAATATTATTACAAAACAGTAACAGCTATATTTATATTCTAATAAATAAATAATTCCATAAATTGAATAATGTACAAATTACTAATTACTAATTTCAATCTTTAAATTGCTCAAAGCTAGGTATCAACAGCTGCCATGCTTAACCTATTATCTTCAACTGTCCCAAAACAGGGTTTAATGGTTTAATTGAATTTATTCTTGATTCAGTTCCTTCTTCAAATAAATTTTCCATGTATCTTGCTGAGAAATGTAAATAAATATGAGGTAATAACAGTGAGTGTATGTATTTATGTATATGTATGTTCAAGAGTCCAGATATAAATTTAACATTAAAAGCCAGTATCTGAATATTATCAAGATTAAAAGTGAATATACACTATAAACTCTTTCAGTTTATAGGAATAAATTTAGGAAAAGGAATAAATTTAAAAATTAGAAAAGAAATTTAGTAATTAGGGGTAAATTTAGCAGGAGAAGTAAGTGCAAGATTTGTAGATAGTCTGAAAACTATAAAATATTTGTGAAAAGAAGTAAAGACCCAAAGGATTATAAATCATGCTGCTATAAAGACACATGCACACGTATGTTTATTGCGGCACTATTCACAATAGCAAGGACTTGAAACCAACCCAAATGTCCAACAATGATAGACTGGATTAAGAAAATGTGGCAGATATACGCCATGGAATACTATGCAGCCATAAGAAATGATGAGTTCTAGAGAAAGCATCATCCTCAGCAAACTATCACAAGGACAAAAAACCAAACACCACATGTTCTCACTCATAGATGGGAATTGAACAATGAGAACACATGGACACAGGAAGGGGAACATCACACACCGGGGCCTGTCGTGGGGTGGGGGGATGGGGGAGGGATAGCATTAGGAGATATACCTAATGCTAAATGATGAGTTAATGGGTGCAGCACACCAACATGGCACATGTATAAATATGTAACAAACCTGCATGTTGTGCACATGTATCCTGAAACTTAAAGTATAATAATAATAATAATAAAAAGAAGTAAAGACCCAAGTAAATGGTAAGAAATGCCTGTTCATTAAAGAGAAGATGTAATATTGTTAACAAAACAATACTTGCAAATTGATCTACATATTCAAAACAATCCCTATTAAATTTCCAGCTTTCTTTTTTGTAGTTACTGACAAGTTGATTTTTAAATTTATATGGAAATGCCAGGGATACAGAAGAGCCAAAATTATAGTAAAAAGGAAGGACAAAATTGGAGGACTCATAATTCATAAAATTTGTCTTCAAAGCAGAAGTATGCATGTGAATGTGGCATTAGCATATGTGTAGACAGTGGAATAAAATGAAGAGTACAAAAATATTATCGGATGGAATATATTTAATAATTTTGGAGAGTTCAAAATTATTGAATATATCTTGTTGCTACAGATTGATGAAATAAAATGGAGAGTCTAAAAATAAACCCTTATATTTTTGGTCAATTAATTTTAGAAGCAGTGCCAAGGTAATTCAATGGGGGAAAGAATAGTTTTATACCCACAAATGTTACAAGGGGCAACTAGATATCTACATGTAGAAGAATGAATTTGTACCGTTACTTACTATACCAGAAAATAATTTTAAATGGATCATAACCCTAAATATAAGAACTAAAACCATAATAGTCTTTGAAGAAAACATGAAAGTAACTCTTCATGACAATGTGTTAGTCAGTTGTTTCTCAGATCTGACACTAAAAGCACTAGGGACAAAATAAAATATTGATAAATTGAATTTCTTCAAAATTAAAAGCCTTTGTGCTTCAAGGTAGATCATCAAGAAAGTGAAAGAAAAAGCCACAGAGAAAATGTTTATAAATCATATATCTGATAATGGAATTTTATTCAGAATATATACAAAGCATAACTCAATAATAAATAAAGCTCAATTAAAAATGGGCAAAAGTCCTCTCTCTCTCTCTTTTTTTAGTCTTGCTAAAGGTTTGTTAATTTTATCTCCGGAAAACCGAATTTTTATTTTACTAATCTTCTGTATTTTTGTCTCAATTTCATTTATTTCTGCTCTTATCCTTATTATTTCTTTCCTTCTACTAATTTTGAGGTTGGTTTGTTCTTGCTTTTCTAGTTCCCTGAGGTGCAGTGTTAGGTTATTTATTTGAAGTCCTTCTACTTTTTTGGTATAAGTGTTTATTGATATAAAAATCCCCCCTAATACTGCTTTTACTATATCCCATAGATTTTGGTATGTTGTATTTCCATTTTCACTTGTTTCAAGAAATTTAAAATTTTTTCATTGTTTTATTGACTCATTGGTCCTTCATAACATTTTGTTTAATTTCCATATGTTTGTATGTTTTACAAGGTTCCTCTTGGTATTGATTTCCAGTTTTATTCTAGTGTGGTCAGAGAAGATAGTCAATATGATTTCTGCTTTTTTTTAAATTTGTATAGACTTCTTTCTAACCTAAGATATAGTCTGTTCTGAAAAATGCTCTATGTGCTGATGAAAAGACTGTGTATTCTGTAGCAGTTCTGTTCTATAAATGTCACTTAGGTTTACTAGATTTAGCATGTACTTTAACTTCACTTTGTTATTGTTGTTGATTTTCTCTCATTTCTGTTCATTACTGAGAATGAGGTATTAAAATTTCCTACTGTTATTGTATTGCAATCTATCACTGCCTTTAATCTATTAATGTTTGTCTTATATATTTAGGAGTTCCAGTGTTGGTTCCATACATATGTATAATTGTTATATCTTCTTGCTGAATTGACTCTTTTATCATGATATAGTGATCTTCCTTATCTTACTTTAGTCTTTGATTTGGAGTCTATTTTATCTGATATGACTATAGCTACTTCTGCTCTTTTTTGGTTTTCAGCTGCATAAAATACCTGTTTTCACTCCTTCACTTTCAGCCTACATATGTAGAAGATATAACAACTGAGACCTAAGAAATACAAATACTCATTAGAGACTATTATTAACAACTATATGCCAACAAATTGGAAAACCTAGAAGAAATGGATAAATTCCTGGATACCTACAACCTATGAGACTGAACCATGAAGAAACAGAAAACCTCAGGAAATCAGTAACAAGTAATGTGATTAAAGCTGTAATTCAAACTCTCCAAAGAAAACCTAGGACTTGATCGATTGACAGCTGAATTCTACTAAACTTTTAATGAAAAGCTGATGCTAGTCCTACTCAAAATATTCAAAAAAATGTAGGAAGAGGGAATACTTCCAAACTCATTCCATAAGGCCAGCATAACCCTGATACCAAAACCAGACAAGGAAACAACAACAATGAAAACAATAATAAAACTACAGGGCAATATCACTGATGCAAAAATCCTCAACAAAATATTAACAAACAGAATACAACAAAACACTAACAATATCATTCATCACGATTAACTGGGATTCATCCTGAGGTTGCAAGGATGGTTCAACATCCTTAATAAATGCAAAACACTACATCAATAAATGCAAAACATTACATTAACAGAATCAACAATAAAAATTATATAATTCTTTCAATAGATGCTGAAGAAGCATTTGATAAAAACATCCCTTTATGATAAAAATGCTCATCAAAATGGGTATAGAAGGAAAATGCCTCAGAATAATGAAGATCATTTATAAAATACAACTATCATACTGAATGGGGATAACTCAAATGCCTTTCTTTTAAATACTAGAATAAGACAAGGATGCACACTTTCACTATTATTCACCATAATACTGGAAGTCTTGGCTAAAGAAATTAGGCAAGACAAAGACATAAAGGGCATCCAAATTGGAAACGAAGAAGTCAAATTAGCCTGGTACACAGAGAGTGTTATCTTTATAGATAGAAAATCCTAAAGACTCCACCAAATTGATAAATGAATTCAGCAAAGTTGCAAGAAACACAAGCAAGATATGGAAATCAGTAACACTTTTATATGCCAACAGCTAAAAATCTGAAAAAGAAATCAAGAAAGCAATCCCATTTACAATAGTTGCAAAAAGATGAAGTCCCTAGGAATAAATCTAACTAAAGAAATAAAATATCTATTCAAGGAAAACTATAAAACTATGATAAAAGAAATTAAAGGAGACACAAAAAATATTCCATGCTCATAGATCAGAAGAATTAATATTTTTAAAATGGAAATATTACTGAAAGCAATTTATAGATTCAATGCAATCGTTTTCAAAATACCAATGACATTCTTTGCAGAAATATAAAACAAATCCTAAAATTTATATGGAACCACAAAAGATTCCAAATAGCCAAATCAATCCTGAACAAAAAGGACAAAGTTTGAGGCATCACACTACCCGATTACAAAATTTATTACAAAGATATAGTAACCAGAATAGCATGGTACTGGCATCAAAATAGACACATAGGCCACTGAAACAGAATAGAGAACATAGATATAAATCCACACATTTATCACAGACTCATTTTCAAGAAAGGTGCTAAGAATTTGCAATGGAGAAAGGAGAGTTTTTTCAATGCTCATCCATATGCAGAAGAATGAAACTAAGTTCTTATCTTTCACTGATATGGTTTGGCTGTGTCCCCACCCAAATCTCATCTTGAATTGTAGCCTCCATAACTCCCACGTGTTGTGGGAGGGACCCGGTGGGAGATAATTGAATCATAGGGGTGGTTTCCCTCATACATGGTAGTGAATAAGTCTCATGATCTGATGATTTTATAAGGGGTTTCCCCTTTTGCTTGGCTCTCATTCTCTCTTGTCTGCCGCTATGTAAGACATGCCTTTCTCCTTCCTCCATGATTTTATGGCCTCCCCAGTCATGTGGAACTGTGAGTCCATTAAACCTCTCTTTCTTTTATTTTATTTTCCTTTTTTTTATCATACTGTAAGTTCTGGGGTACATGTGCAGAACGTGCAGGTTTGTTACATAGGCATACATGAGCAAAGGTGGATTGCTTCACCCATCAACCCGTGACCTACATTAGGTATTTCTCCTAATGCTATCGCTCCCCTACCCCTCCACCCCCCAATAAACCTCTTTTTGTTTGTAAATTATCCAGTCTTGGGTATGTCTTTATCAGCAGTGTGAAAACAGGCTGATACACTCACCATACACAAAATCAAATAAAAATGGATTAAAGACTTGAATCTAAAACCTGAAACTATGAAACGACTAGAAAATAATATTAGTCTGGGCAAAGATTTTTTTTTACGTAACCTCAAAAGTACAGGCAACCAAAGCAAAAATAGATAATAGGGATTCCATCAAGCTGAAAATCTTCTGTACAGAAAAGGAAACAAGCAAAAAAGTTAATAGAGAACCCATCATATGGGAGAAAATATTTATGAACTGCCCATCTAACAAAGAATTAACAACTAGAATATATAAGGAGCTCAAACAACTCAAGAGCAAAAAAAAAATAAGCTAATTAAAAAATGGACAAAAGACCAGAACAGACATTTCTCAAAAGAAAACATACACATGGCCATGGGTGTATGAAAGTAATTCTCAGCACCACTAATCATTAGAGAAATGCAAATTAAAACGACAACGTGATTTTATCTCACCCCAGATAAAGTGGCTTACATCAAAAGACAGGCAGTAACAGATGCTAGAGAAGATTTGGAGAAAGGCGGACCCTCATACACTGTTGGTGGGAATGTAAGTTAGTACAAACACTATGTAGAACAGTATGCAGGTTCCTTTAAAAAAACTGAAAATAGAACTTCTATTTGATCCAGCAATTCCACTATTTGGTATATATTCAAAAACAAAAGGAGATTGATATATCAAAGATATATCTGCACTCCCATGTTTATTTCAACACTGTCACAATAGTCAAAATATGAAATCAACCTCGGTGTCCATCAGTTGATGAATGGATAAGGAAAATGTGGTTTATATACACAATGGAAAACTATTCAGCAATAAAAAAAGAATAAAGCATCATTATTTTCAGCAACATGGATTGAACTGGAAGTCATTACAAGCACAAAAAGACAAAATTGTATGTTCTCATTCATAGGCAGGAGCTAAAAAATTGGATCTCATGAAGATGGAGAGTAGAGTGGTGGTTACAGAGGCAGAGAACAGGAGTGGGGAAGGGAGATAAAGAGGAAAAGAAAAAGTATATACATATTTTATTATCAATGGACTGTACACTTAAAGATGGTGAAGATGACAAATTATGTATGTATATTTTTACCTCAAGAAAATTGTTTAAATGGGCAAAATATATGAATAGATATTTGTCCAAAGAAGATACACAAATGTCCAATAAGCCATGAAAAGATATTCAAAATCATTGACCATTAGAGAAATGCAAATCAAATCTGCAATGAGATACCAGTCCACATTCAATGAGATGGCTATAATAAAAATAACTGGCAATAGTAAGAGTTCATGCGTGTGTTAGTGCATTTTGCATTTCCGTAAAGGAAGAAGTGAGACCATATAATTTATACGGAAAAAGGGGCTTATTTGGCTCATGTTTCTGTAGTTTGTATGAGAGAAGAATAGTGCCAGCATCTGCCTCTGGAGAGGCCTTAGGAAGATTACAATAGTGGCAAAAGGCAAAGGGGGATCCACCTGTGTATTGCCTTGTGGGATAACAGGGGGTGAGAGAGAAATGGGGGGAGGTGTCACACCTTTAAACAACCAGCTCTCACATGAGCTGATAGAATGAGAGCTCACTCATTACCATGAAGACAGCACCAAGCCATTCGTAAGGGATCTACTCCCATGACCCAAACACCTCCCACCAGACCCCACCTGTGACACTGGGGATCACATTTCAACATGAGATTTGGAAGGGATAAACATCCAAATGATATCAATGAGGATATGGAGAAATTGGAACCATCATACATTTTGTGTGTGTGTGTGTGTGTGTGTGTGTGTGTGTGTGTGTGTAGTAATGTAATGTGGCACAGTTGCTTTTGAAAAAATCCTGATGGTTCTTTAAACTCTTAAATATAGAGTTCTTAGCATACAGCAATTCCATGTCTACATTTACATCAAACAAAAATAAAAATGTATGTCTGCATAAATATTTGTACACAAATGTTCATAGCAGCATTATTATGATAGCCAAAAAGCAGAAATAAATCCAGATGTTCATCAACTGGTGAATGAGTCTTGAAAATATGGTATGTTCACACAGTGGGATATTATTAGGCAATAACTAAGAATGGAGTAATAATGTCCACTAAACTATGGATGAACCTTGAAAACAGCATGCTAAATAAAAGATGCCAATTACAACAAGAAAACATTATGTGATTTTATTTATATGAAATGTCCAGAATAGGCAAATGTATAGAGACAATAAGTAGATTAGTGCCGCTAAAGCCTGAAGGCAGAGGTCAGATTGGAAGATGGAAAGTGACTACTAATGTCAGGGTTTTTTTTTTTTTTTTTGAAGGGGTGATAAAAATATCTTAAAATTTGAGCATGGTCATATTTTCACAACTCTGTGTTTTAAAAGCCATTGAATTGTAAACTTTACCTAGAATAATTATATGGAATGTGAATTATGTCTTAAAGCGTTTAACACAAACCAATAAAAATTTAAAGCTAAAAGACTTTCTCAGAAGAATTTCTAAAATATTAAGTTATTTATGTGGACTTCTTGTTTCTTCTTCTGTGTCTTGATTTTGTTTGTTGTTTCTTTCCTGTAGCATTGGCCAAAATGAGGAATAAGGAGCAGGACGGAAACTGATATTGTAGAAGTTTGGGTAAGAAAGACAATTTGAATTTTCCTCTAGGGGCATACTGCTCAAAGTTGCATCATAAAACTCTGTCAATGTGCACCAGAGAATAGTTAGTGTGGAAATAATATCACAAGTGATTTTAATAATTATGTTTAAATCTGAAAACATGGTTTTGCTTGTTTGAAAGGTGGTTGCCTGTTACATGCTAGTCACCTGATATGGGAAACCTGGAGGCCAGCACAGTGACAACTACATTCTTCATTGCTACATCCTACTGCAATGTATTGCAGGTTATGTGGACTTACATATCACATCCCTCAACTTTAAGGAACTGAACCCCCAAAGAGTGTATACTTTAATTATTATAAACAAATATTTCACGTAAGCATACGTGAATAAGAAGAGGATAGTTTTGACAATCAGTCTTAGTATATATAAGCAGTCTAATGGAACTATTTTGAGGTTAAAAGAATAATCTATTCAAGAATAGTTATTTTTTAATATTTTACCAAGAAAATTTGAAGTTAAAAAACCTTATGATGTATTAATTTACCTATGATATGAAATAGAAAAATTGATGAACCTATGAAATGAATTAACATCATAATGTAGAGGTAATTCAATGTAACACATAATTTAAAGTTAAAGTTTTAAGGAGGTTATCAATATAGTTAACTAAAGATAACAAATAATTATTACCATGCTTTATAATACCACTTAACAAGATGAGAATTTATCGGAAAGGTTTTTTACTTCACATAGGGATGCTGGTTAACTGTTCATGTAGTACTTTAGATGAGGTAACAAAACTTGACTATTCCACATTTGTTGACTATATCTGTCATAACAAAAGACAGGTTAGGAGTATGTAACAGAGATTTTGACAGAGAAATGGAATACGTAATCATTCCCTTTAAAGCAAGGGAAACATTTTTAGAAAGATAAAGAGAAAGCAATTCTTACTTAAAAAAATATTATGTTATGTAGAAAGCGTTTTTTAAAATGCATGTTTTTGAAATGTTTCCACTGTTAGGCAATTTGCTACTTAAATTTATGATGAAGTTCAAAAATAAAAACTAACAGATATGTTCTGTGGGGCGGGGAGCAGAAATTTTGGAAACAAATATTCTATCCTATGTAAAAATCTTTCAAATAAAGAGTTACAGCAGGTTTTGAAAATGTTGTGAATAAAAAATCAACGTATTTGAGATAAATTTTTGCATAATGTGATATAAGACTGAAAAAGATGTTCAGTGATTTAGAGTGCACAGCAAAGGACACCCTTCTTCCATTTGGATATACATAATCTGCTATATATCTTTTCCATTTATGATAGCCAATATAATCAGATATGCAAGTAAACAAAACTTGGACGTTAAACCTTTAAATGCAATATCACAAAATTATTTTAGCAAATTTTTAATTTAAAATGTAGCATTTTCAATCACAGTGAGGACTATGTGAATTTTATGGCATTAATCAATATCATTAAATTAATATTATTAAATTAATATATAATCTAGCTTTATCATACCCATTCATAGTTTGCGTATGTCAGATATTTATCACACATTAGGATAAAAGTACATGTTTATAATTTACACATATAAAAATACAAAAACTGAGTGTAGTAGACTACATTATTATCCCCTAATATGTACTGTTATTCCCAGAGGAAATTACACATCTAGGACCCATTGTTACCAATTTTTGCTATGTCATATTGGGCAATGAAATATGAGTGGTGTTATAAAGACATTTAAACAATGAATAAAAAGATGTGTATTAGTGTCCCATGGCTGCCTTAACAAATTGCCACAAACTTGTAGCTTAAAATAAAAGAAATTTATTTTTCTCATAGTTTTAGAGGGAATCTGAAATCTAGGCATCAGTGGGGTTGGTTCCTTCTTTGGAGGCTCTGTGGAAGAAATTGTCCCATGCTTCTTAGATTCTGGTGGTTGAGGACCATCCTTTTCATTACTTCAATTTCTGTATCTAACATCACATAACCTTTTACTCTGTGTGTGTCTATGTCCTCTCTCCTTTTTATGAAGACAACTGTCTTTGAATTTAGGGTTATACCTAAATCCAGGATGATTATACCTTGAGATCCCTAACTATATCTCCCAAGACCTATTTCCAAATAGTCATATTCTGAGGTTCTGGGTAGACATTAATTCTGGGGGGACTCTATTCAACTTGTATTAGATTTCTGAGGTTGCCATTGCACAATACTGTAGACTGCGTGGCTTACACAGCAGAAACTCACTCTCTCACAATTCTGGAGGCTAGAAATTCCAGATGAAAGTGTCTGCAGGTTTGGTTTCTTCTGAGGTCTCACTTCTTGGCTTGCAAATACCTTAATCGCTGTGTCCTCACATGCCTGGCCCTCTGTGTTTGTGTCCTAATCTTCAATCCTTATGAGGACATTAGTCTTAAGGGATTAAGGCTCACTTTCAGAACCTTATTAACCTTCATTGCATTTTAAAGACTCATTCCCCACATACATTCACATTCTGAGGTACAAGGTATTAGAACTTTAACATATGACTTTTTGGGACTATGTAATTCACCCATAACATAACCAAAGTAAAATGAGCAAAGAAATTGGACACTTAAAAGATAAAGATATACTAATAATAAATAATTACATGAAAAAGTTTTCAATGTCAGTAGTCATTAGAGACATGTAAATTAAATCAAAATAATAAGGACTTACTGTTTTAGATTTAATATATGAAGAGTTTTGAAAATGTCACTCTTCTCTTTATGACTAAAGAAAGCTGAACAGATGGAAAATTAACACCTTTTCTTGGACATACTGGAAAACTGAGGTTGTACAGCAAACCATATTGGGAAATATTGAGAGACAGATGAATCCTAATAGTTACAGCTGAGACTTGCTCACATGAAGCAGAAGGTTCTGGAGTTATAAAGTGCAGTGAGAAACTACTAGAGACAGGCTTAGGCAGCCCTCAACGTTTGTCGGTTTTACCTCCAGGAACCCCACCATAGTTTTACATTGAAGATCTGAGAAAGATCCTCTCAGTGCTCTGGTGGGTGGGTGTATGGGGGAAGAGTAATTATTATGAAAAGCCAAAAAAGCCTTTTTTTTTTCTCCATTAAAAAGACTTACTTCCCAAGGGAAAAGGCGGTAAAACCCAAGAGCACTGGAAAGCTATATGGGGATGTTAGAGCACAAAGAAACAGACTGATTAAAAGACAAATTTTGTTACAAAATCAGAGCAAGTTTCTCTCTAGTCCTTGTACTGTTACTCCAATAGGATTCCAGTATAATAGCAGTTGATTACAGTTGACAGGGCCGAAAGATGCAGACTCTTTCTGAGAAGCAGTTCTTAGGGAAGCTCAGTGACAGGAGGGGAGATAGAAACAAGGACCCTAGAGGAATTTAAGCCCATGGCCCTGAGAGTTACCATAAACATTAAGTGCAATCCAACTCCTGAGTCAAATTAACATAAATCCTTGAACTAAAGGCTTGTCTACCTCAGTTCCTATTACATACAAAATGTTGGACTTTGCGCAATAAAGTCTCTTCATGATATTTCATTTTAAATTATACATTGAATAATGAGGACCATTATAGAGAGAAACTCTACAGACTTTGGTGCTATAAACATTATTCTTTGAGTATCTGAGGAATCACATTCTTAGAAACATAGAAAAGGTTGTGCATATTATCTGAGCCATATTGAACTGAAATCCTGATTCCACTACAATTTTATGGCCACTTGCATTGAAATGATAAAAATAGTCACTGGTATCCTTATATCTATTATAATTCAACAAGTTGTGTTAGCATTCCAACACTTACATTGTTTTTAACTCAATGATGAAAGGCTATGTTATTAATTGTTAGGATATCTCCATTATTTGATTGTTGCTTTTTTGGTTGTAATGGACAGTAAGATTTGATAAATATTTCCTAAAATTGTAATTGCTCGCTTTGTAATGTATGCCATTCTTCTCTCATAGTTTCAAAATGTAGCATTTTAAAGATATATTAAATTGTGTTCATTTACTAAATAATAAATTCCTCCTCAAAGGACACAAATCACTGTACATTTCAGACGAGGATATTACCCCATTATGAGTAAACCACTTGCAAACTGAGGCCTCTAATTAAATGTCAAACAATAAATATCTACAGTGTGTATATTCTTAAGCCCTTAGCCTCAGCAAGAGAAACAACTGAAAGCTACAGAGCATTCTTCTCTCTGAAAGCTACAGAGCACTACCCTGAACAGATCACTTACTACTATATATTCCTTATTTTTTTCTTTTCTTTTCTTTTTTTTTTTTTTGAGATGGAGTTTCACTCTTGTCATCCAGGCTGGAGTGCAATGGTGCGACCTTGGCTCACTGAAACCTCTGCCTCTCAGGTTCAAGTGGTTCTCCTGCCTCAGCCTCCCAAATACCTGGGATTGCAGGTGCCTGCCACCATGCCCAACTAATTGTTTTTTTTTTTGTTTTGTTTTGTTTTGTTTTGTTTTTTGTATTTTTGGTAGAGATGAGGTTTCACCATGTTGGCCAGTTCTCGAACTCCTTACCTCAGGTGATCCACCTGCCTCGGCCTCCTACACTATATGTTCTTATAACTGGTCCAGACCTCATCATCATGGCTTTGTAGATTCTATATTCTTTAGAAGGAATTATCATTTGAAACTAGAAACTCCATTGTCACAAGAGCAGAATGGGCTCATTTTCACCAACTGGCAACAGAGAGGTGGAAGCTCAGAGTGTATGCTGTCAAAAGTCAATTATATTTTATACTTAAAAGGGTTCTAAATGCAGCAGATTTCACCAATGATTGCACTAAAATTTCAGAAATCACCACTAAATAACTTGATTTTTAACCAAAAGCCATCTGTATCCAAAAGCCTATTGAAATTAAAAAAAAATAAATAAAACTACAAATTCCTATGGAAACAGAATCAGCATCTCTGAGGGAAAGGTCTTATATTTTTGAGCCACACATAATTCTAGCATAGCCTGTCGAAGGATGAGTGTTCAGAATCTCTGCTCTGTATCCACCCAGCAATGTTCATCATTAGAAGGCACTTTCCCCAAAGTGGTGCTGGAAATCTATGATATACCGACTTTCCTCTCATGAGACAGTCAATTCCCTCACTCCCCTCTCTGATCTTTTGTAAATTATGTATCAGTGAAATATTTCATCATGTATGAGTTTCTGCTTTTTACTTAGGCAGTTATGACAACTTTGCCCTGAATAAATGTGTATAGCACTCATAACATTTCTTCCTACTAGATAATTGGGCTGGATACAAATGTAACTAAATTTCAGAAAATCCCTATGGGGAAAAGTAGTTATATGCAATCTTTCCAAAAAATTTCTAGAGCAGTACCAAAATATCACAATGCAAAATAAAACCGGGAATTTAGAAGAAATAAAAGACATTTAAACTTAACTACATGCTTTGCCTATAGCCCCTGGAAAAAAAATACTGTGTTTGAAATTAAATAGACTTTTAATCCTGTATTTTTTCACTTTTCCCCACCAGAGAGAATTTATTAGAGATAATAATACCTTTCACCTGTATAGTATATTTCACTTTTCAAAGTGCTTTCCCATGAATTATTTAATTCTATGAAGGTCAGTTGACATCCCATCTATATTGAACTTTGTTATCAGAATGTGCTTGACCTTTGCCTCTGCGATTCCCAATGTTTGAAATGCTTTTTGCTTCTTTGTACCTTTCTGTCCTTGGCTATTACTCTTTTTTCTGTTCCTAACCTAGAAATTGTCTCTTCAGGGAAGTTTTTTCTACCCTGGCCTCTGGTTAAAAGCTTTTCTCATTTATTTATACAGAATGGTGAATTCCATTGTCTAGAAATTCATTTTCATACAATATTGTGATTTACCAGTTTCTGATGTGTCTTTTCCCATGGAATATAAGTTCCTTTTAAACTGAGTCAGACCTGCTCATCATCTTTTCCATTATTGGGAGACATTTAGAAGGTGCTCTGTAAAAATCTGTTGAATAAATGAAAGAATAAATATTAACGAATGTACATATTTTAATATCCCCTTTGAAACTAGATATAAACTGATATGGCTTGGCTGTGTCTCCAGCCAAATCTCATTTTCTCTCTTGCCTGCTGCCATGTAAGATATGACATTGCTCCTCATTCGCCTTCCACCATGATTGTGAGGCCTCCCCAGCCATGTTGAACTGTGAGTCCATTAAACCTCTTTCCTTTATAAATTACCCAGTCTCAGGTATGTCTTTATTAGCAGCATGAGAACAGACTAATACAGTAAATTGGTGCCAGTAGAATGGGGCACTGCTGTAAAGATACCTAAAAATATGGAAGCAAATTTGGAACTGGGTAAGAGGCAGAGGTTGGAACAGTTTGGAGCGATCAGAAAAAGACAGGAAAATGTGGGGAAGTTTGGAACTTTCCTAGAGACTTGTTGAATGGCTATGACAAAATTGCTGATAATGATATAGACAATAAAATCCACACTGAGGTGGTCTCAGATGGAGATGAGGAACTTGTTGGGAACTGGCGTAAGGTGACTCTTGTATGCTTTAGGAAAGAGACTGGCAGAATTTTGCCCCTGCCCTAGAGATTCGTGAAACTTTGAACTTGAGAGAGATGATTTAGGGTATCTGACAAAAGAAATTTCTACACAACAAAGCATTCAGGAGGTGACATGGGTGCTGTTAAAGGCATTCAGTTTTTAAAGGGAAACAGAACATTAAAGTTCAGAAAATTTGCAGCCTGATAATTTGGTAGAAAAGAAAATCCCATTTTCTGAGGAGAAAATCAAGTCAGATGCAGAAATTTGTATAAGTAACAAGGAGCTGAATGTCAATCACCAAGACAATGGGGAACATGTCTCCAGGGCATGTCAGAGGTCTTCATGGCACCCCCTGCTATCACAGACATGAGGACATAGGAGGAAAAAATGGTTTCATGGGCCGGGCCCAGGGTCCCTCTGCTGTGTGCAGTCTAGGGACTTGGTGTCCTGAGTCCCAACCTCTCCAGGCCCACGTATATTTGGGTTGTGGCCTCAGAGTGAAAGCCCCAAATTTTGGAAGCTTCCAAGTGGTATTGAGCCTGCAGGTGCACAAAAGTCAAGAATTGAGGTTTGGGAACTCCTGCCTAGATTTTAGAGGATGTATGGAAACACCTGGATATCCAGGCAGAAGTTTGCTGCAGGGGCAGGGCAGTGTGGAAGGGAAGTGTGGGATGGGCACCCGTACAACAGTCCCCACTGGGGGGCTGCCTAGTGGAGTGAAAACAAGACAGCCACTATCCTCCATACCCCAGAATGGTAGCTTCATCAACAACTTGCACTGTGCACCTGGAAAAGCCACAGACACTCAACACCAGCCCATGAAAGTAACTGTGAGGGAGACTTTAACCTGCAAAGCCACATGGGTGGACCTGCCCAAGACCATGGGAACCCACCCCTTGCATCAGCATTACCTGGATATGAGACATGGAGTCAAAGGAGATCATTTTGGTGCTTTAAGATTGACTGTCCTGTTGGATTTTGGATTTGCATGGGGCCTGTAGCCCCTTTGTTTTGGCCAATTTCTTGCATTTGGAATAGCTGTATTTACCCAATGCCTGAACTCCCATTATATTTAGGAAGTAACTAACTTGCTTTTTATTTTACAGGCTCATAGGCAAAAGGACTTGCCTTGTCTCAGATGAGACTTTAGACTGTGGAGTTTTGAGTTAATGCTGAAATGAGTTAAGACTTTAGGGTACTGTTAGGAAGGCATGATTGCTTTTGAAATGTGACAACATTAGACTTGGGAGGGGCCATAGGCAAAATGATATGGGTTGGCTTTGTCGCCATCCAAATCCCATTTTGAATTGTAGTTCCCATAATTCCCACGTGCTGTGGGAAGGATCCAGTGGGAGATAATTGAATCACGGGGGTGGAACTTTCCTGTGCTATTCTCATGATAGTGAATAAGTCTCGGGAGATCGGACAGTTTTATAAAGGGGAGTTTCCCTGAACAAGTTCTCTTCTCTTATCTGCTGCCATGTGAGATGTGCCTTTCACCTTCTGCCATGATTGTGAGGCCTCCTCAGCCGTGTGAACTGTGAGTCCATTAAACCTCTTTCGTTTGTAAATTGCCTAGTCTCAGGTATGTCTTTATCAGCAGCGTGAAATTAGACTAATATATAAACCAACACTGAGTGAAGTAAAAATGTTGGTATATAAAATTGTAGATTTATATAGCCAAAACAGAAATTATTTGAGGTTTTTCAAAGGGGAGAGATGTCACCTTATTCAAGGTATATTTTAAGTGCACTGCAAAAGAGGGAAACAAATATTATCATCTCAATTTTGCAAAAAGAAAAGAAAAGAAAACTGTAATGAGATGCCAAACTGCTGTTTGTAGTGTTTTTGTATGGGTTACTTCAAAAACCAAACCTGAGAGAAAATCTTGGGTGCAGGTGGCAAGAAGTCCTAGAAATTAAATGCACTATTTTGTGTGTGTGTGTGATCCCCTGAGAATCTAATCATGTGGTAATAAAAATAACAATTACGGCATATAACACTGATCAGACACATTTTATGTGGCAAACATTGCGATAGGTCCTTTTAATGGATTATCTCATTTTAGTTTTTACAGAAACCTTGTAGAATAAATAATTTCATAATCCTCAGTTTTTAGAGGAGTAAACTGAGGTTTAGAAAAGTGGTTTGTGGTAGAGATTACATGGCATAAAATCTGATGGTTTGACAAAGAATCCCTGTTTTTATATTTTCTGTGTGTGTGATTTAATTTCTTGGTTATCTTATCTATTAAAAAGTATAATAGTAAACATCTCATGGGTTTGTTTTCATGATTAAATTAGATGATGTATCTTACATGTGGCTGACAAATACGATGTTCTCTTTATGAGAGCTCTTATCCCTAGTAATTATTTCTCCAGATAACAAGATCTATGATGGAAGTGATGTATCTGCTTTGCTCAATATTCTTCTTAGTATTGCCTTATTAAATGGCTGAGTGATTGAAGTTTTGTATGTCATTTGCAATCATTTAGTATGTGTTAGAATCAAAATTCAAACATGTCTCAGGTCAGGAGATTTCATGCTCTATAACCATTTGTTTCCACATTTCTTAAAATAGAATTATTCCAATTAAGCATATAATCAATAATCTATATGGGTTGAAATAATGATGCAAGATTTAATACTGGTTTATAGAAAATTGCCTTTAAAGTTCCAACATGGGATGCTAGGTACATATATCCCTTAAGAACAATTTTAAATCCCAAGATACACCTGAGATATCTCTTTTTGTTTTTTCTCTCTGCCGTTTCCTACTCCCACTCTCACTTAAAAATGTTTTTTTTCCATTTTCTTTTATATATATATATTTAATTATACTTTAAGTTCTAGCATACATGTGCACAACCTGCAGGTTTGTTACATATGTACACATGTGCCATGTTGGTATGCTGCACCCATTAACTCGTCATTTACATTAGGTATATCTCCTAATGCTATCCCTCCCCCCTCCCCCCACCCCACAACAGGCCCTGGTGTGTGATGTTCCCCTTCCTGTGTCCAAGTGTTCTCATTGTTCAATTCCCACCTATGAGTGAGAACATGCGGTGTATGGTTTTTTGTCCTTGTGATAGTTTGCTGAGAATGATGGTTTCCAGCTTCATCCATGTCCCTGCAAAGGACATGAACTCATCATTTTTTATGGCTGCGTAGTACTCCATGGTGTATATGTGCCACATTTTCTTAATCCAGTCTATCATTGTTGGACATATGGGTTGGTTCCAAGTCTTTGCTATTGTGAATAGTGCCGCAATAAACATACGTGTGCATGTATCTTTATGGCAGCATGATTTATATTCCTTTGGGTATATACCCAGTAATGGGATGGCCAGGTCAAATGGTATTTCTAGTTCTAGATCCCTGAGGAATCGCCACACTGTCTTCCACAATGGTTGAACTAGTTTACAGTCCCACCAACAGTGTAAAATGTTCCTATTTCTCCACATCCTCTCCAGCACCTGTTGTTTCCTGACTTTTTAATGATTGCCATTCTAACTGGTGTGAGATGGTATCTCATTGTGGTTTTGATTTGCATTTCTCTGATGGCCAGTGATGATGAGCATTTTTTCATGTGTCTTTTGGCTGCATAAATGTCTTCTTTTGAGAAGTGTCTGTTCACATCCTTTGCCCACTTTTTGATAGGATTGTTTGTTTTTTTCTTATAAATTTGTTTGAGTTCTTTGTAGATTCTGGATATTAGCCCTTTGTCAGATGAGTAGATTGCAAAAATTTCTCCCATTCTGTAGGTTGCCTGTTCACTCTGATGGTAGTTTCTTTTGCTGTGCAGAAGTTTTTAGTTTATTTAGATCCCATTTGTCAATTTTGGCTTTTGTTGCCATAGCTTTTGGTATTTTAGACATGAAGTCCTTGCCCATGCCTATGTCCTGAATGGTATTGCTAGGTTTTCTTCTAGGGTTTTTATGGTTTTAGGTCTAACATTTAAGTCTTTAATCCATCCTGAATTAATTTTTGTATAAGGTGTAAGGAAGGGATCCAGTTTCAGCTTTCTACATATGGCTAGCCAGTTTTCCCAGCACCATTTGTTAAATAGGGAATCCATTCCCCATTTCTTGTTTTTGTCAGGTTTGTCCAAGATCAGGTAGTTGTAGATGTGTGGTATTATTTCTGAGGGCTCTTTCTGTTCCATTGGTCTATATCTCTGTTTTGGTACCAGTACCATGCTGTTTTGGTTACTGTAGCCTTGTAGTATAGTTTGAAGTCAGGTAATGTGATGCCTCCAGCTTTGTTCTTTTGGCTTAGGATTGACTTGGCAATGAGGGCTCTTTTTTGGTTCCATATGAACTTTAAAGCAGTTTTTTCCCATTCAGTGAAGAAAGTCTTTGGTAGCTTGATGGAGATGGCATTGCTGCTGTATTTGTTGACTTCTTCTTTCCCTGAAACTTTACATAAGAGATAACCAATTTACAGATTTTTCCTTATTTTTCTTATTTTCCCCAGTGTGAGATATTTGAGCAGCATCATTCTTATTTCTTAGATTTGGTGGGAGGAGGTTGTTTAGGTGCGGCAAGTGATTAATATATAATGTGACAATAAAAAGCCTCCTTTCATGGTTATGTCCACTTGCACCACTTGCAAAACTGTATTTTATTTTGAATTATATATTGAATGACTAGGACAATTATACAGAGAATCTCTGCAGACTTTGATGCATTATCCTTTGAGTATCTGAGGAATCCTTGGAGTAGCTGAGGATGAGTAGCAACACAGCTGCATTTAGATGCTAATGTTAGTACTTTGTACATAAAAAACAGAAAAATGATGCAACCACATTTGAGAGCAAATTCGGTTCTAGACTCCACTGAGCAATTTGTAACAATAGTAGGTCTTTGCAGAAGCTCTGGAATGGAGAGAAGTGTGGAGCTTGGGAAAGGATGAGAAGGATTAAGATGAGGCAGAGGCTGGAACTGTGACAAGGCTTTCAGCAGGTAAATCTCTCAATTCTGTGAGTTCAGTGAGGTGCAAGAAAGACCAGATGTGAAGTGCTGGAAGTGCTAGCTAATCTTGTGGCTAAATGCAGAAGGAAGAAAATTTTCTCTTAAGAACCAGAGATAAGCAGTTGCTAAGCCTATCACATCTTTCAGATGATATTAACTGGTGGCAATAATGTATTTCGTGCTGTTGTATATGAGTCAGAAACCTCAGTATAGACGACGATACACAGTAATTTTTCCCAAACATTATAATATTCAAATGGCTATAATTATGAAAATCCATCTTCTTAGCATTGAAAAAGAAATCCTTTATGATCAACAAAGTTGCTTCATGGTCAAACTAGATTTTAATTTGTAATATTAGGAGCAATAAAGTAATTTTCTCTATGTGTAATTAATATAATTTTGTCCCAATTATTTGTAATTTATTTTTAGTATAGTTTTGTCACAAATTACAGTATTCTAATTTTACTTTTGAAATTATTTTCCTGTCTTTATTTGTGTATAATTAACTGAATTATAATGAAGCTAAACGTGTACAGAGAGAAAAGAGTTCTTTTGTTTAGAAAATTTCCAGCAGGCTTGACAATATAAACTTTGTAATTTAAGGCCTCAAGCAGGGAGAGGGAGGCATTACACAAATGCATTGTGTGTTTTTTCCAACAAATATCCAAATAATTTTAAATGTAGTTACTATAATTTACCAATGGCTGGTTTAAAAAGTTTTCATAGTAAAACTGTGTCACTTTTTATGTCATATCAAAGTAAACAGAAACGGAAAAACCAACCCACCAGTAAATTGCTAATGGGTTAAGAGGAATTTAAGCATATGTATGCTATGTATGCTGCAATGAAATATTGGTCTAAGCGGTCATTTGATTAGCTGGCACTTTTTCAATAACCTTTATAAAGCTCCCAGCAATCTTCAGTCAATGAATTTATCCAACAAGGTAGATATGTCTTTGAAGTGTTCAATCTGGCCATTACATAAAAGGAAGTAGCAATTATTAGAATCTGATTGTTTGGATATGTGATTCAGACCATGATCAAAGCTGTTCATTACTCTCAGGGTATGTGATGCAGAGCATTCAAAAGCTCTTCATTACTCAGGAAACACCTTCTTTGGCTTTGAAGTTTGACTTTTTTATCTTTTAACCAAAATTGCACCAGATATGCATTCATATAGAATAGTCAATTCCCATCGTCATTCTACTGTGGTAGAAGGCTAACCAAAATAATATTCCACGGGTACCTATGATATTTCAATGATGCATGTGCAAATAACCTTTTGCATTTCTGTGGTATCATTTCTCCAAGGGGCTCAAAGCACTTAATAGGGCTATTAAATCCTCCCAACCTGACCTTTGAGGAAGAAGTAGAGATCTCTGACAACATAATTCACATGCAGTTACATATACTGAAGACCAAGTCTTGCCTCTTATAAAGTTACTGTATATAATAAGACTCCAAAAATAGTATTGACTGTTAATACAGGTATTGATAGATCTGCTCAATTTGCTCAATATCTATCTGTTGAAAGCACAGACTGAGACACTGTTTGACATACTTAATATCTATGCTCTGACACTATGATAATAGCTGCCACTTATTGAGTGCCTATCATGAATGATTCATTGGGCTAAATATTTTTATGCATTCCTTATAATTTCTCACAATTAGCATTTGATATAAATGTATGTATGAGAAGCTTCAGGTTTATGGAGTAGGCTGCCAGAATTCTCATAGCTGAGAAGTGTTGTTGGTGCTGGAAATTAAATCCAGTTATACCCAGTTCTAGAACTGTTGCTTTATCATTATCTCAAGCAGTTCTCTTTTGATGAAAAAATCACCTCCTTAAATTAAGATTATCATTCACACTGACAAAACTGATTTTTCTCAAAGCCTTCATCAAATAATACTAAGCAAATTATTGAACGTTAGGGCTGCAAAACATATTGAAGTCATTATTTCAGAGATGAGACTTTAAAAAAGACTAAAAAATAAATCAAAAGGTACTACCTCTTACATAAATAATATCTTAGCTATATATTGATATAACAACAATATAATAATATAATGACATCATCTATCTATCTACCTATCTACCTAGACTTATTAAAGTTAATATTATTTATTCAGGGACTTTGACTATAGATTTAAACATGAAAGTACATAATCCAAAGCTTGGGACACTCCACTGGTATAAGAGAATAGAAGTTATGATTTTGATTTTAGTATCCTCAGTGAAGTAAATAAGGACAATAGAAGTTACTAATCTTCTTTTAAGTTACTAATTATGAATACAAATTGTAAAGATCCTTGACTTTCCCTATAGAGTGTGTTCACTTCCATCTTAATGTAGGTAATGTCTGCCTTCAACTGACATCAAACAAATTTAAATATTTCAGCCAAATGAATATATTTAAGTCAAAACTACATACATGGGCCTTGTGGGTAATTCTCTACAATTATCATGAACACAATTAGCATGTACACAATATCATGTGTGCAATAAA
Organism: Homo sapiens; assembly: GCF_000001405.40. Classification (NCBI taxonomy): domain Eukaryota; kingdom Metazoa; phylum Chordata; class Mammalia; order Primates; family Hominidae; genus Homo; species Homo sapiens. The sequence goes on from NW_021159995.1 coordinate 45,309, forward strand.
TATCAGTACAACAATTGTTTCAAAACACCTGGTTATATGTAGTGGCTTAAAAGCTTTCACAGTCAAGGTGCCATTCAGTTTATGTTGATATTGAAATGTGAGATCCATTTCTAAAATACATGAGAACTTTCAGTAGGATTATTAAGTAAATATCATTACCATCATTTAAGTGACGGTAAAATACAAACCTATTGTTCTGATTAACACTATAAAATATTAGTAACTACACAATATGGCAAATATTCAAATTTTGGTAAGAATATAACCATCTTCCATCTTGAATTACTTGACATTTAAAATAAAACTCACATTTACTCGTATTTTTTATATATCTATCTGAATACTGATCTATTTACTTATCTACATTTATATCTTTTCTGTTTTAAGATATTGCTAAATGTGAGAATTTTTCAAATTATCATTTTCATATTTATTCTTTGGAACTACAATTTTTTTAGTGTTTATTGTTTTTGTTATTATTTGTATGGAGATATTAATATCCATATTGAGGAGTACCAAATATAAAGAGAGATTATTAGTTTATAAAATCACTAAATTTCTATTTAAAGTGTCTAGTCAACTTGATGGCAGAAAACATAATCTTTGTTGATTTCACAAAATCTTAGTCAATTCAGAATTTCCTTCTCTGTTTTTTTTTGTTTGGAGTGGCATCTACATTTCAAGGGATAGGGCATTAAGGTCAGGAGCGTCGTGTAGCTTTTAAATGACTCCAAAAACTTACAAAATTTGCTACATGAATAACATATATTTTTGCCATGATAAAATCATGGAGTGTGATCCCTCTTTTCATGAGAATGTATGTCACACCTCAACAGAATACATGTGTTTGTTATTGGCCTCAGCTACTAGACTCCAAAACACATACAAACCCAACATTTGACAGACACATTGAGAGCATAGGCTGTGGCAGGGCTACACATCGCCAGCCTTTGAGCTATTCGCTGAAGCCTTGCTTGCCAACCCTGGTACCACTGATTAGTGTCAATGAACTTTGTGTATCCTTGCAGATGTCGATTTTGTTCATCAAACCGTGTCTTCCAAGAACCTTTCATAAAAAGGTACTTCTCAGATTTCGATTAGACTTTATATCTACAGGGGTCCGCTTTCATCCTAATTGAGCAACTAAACTTTGATTATTTGACTCTAAGGAAAATTGAAACTTGAACAACTAGACTTTGATAATTTGACTCTAGAGAAAATTAGAACTCACCTGCTATTTGTCTAATGTATCTTGTCTACCTAGTGTAGTCCCTGTGAAATTTGTTCTGATTATTCTCCATCTCTTTGAGCATAAAAAAAAAAAGAATCTCTTTGTATGGCAATTAACTGTGATTTTTGAACTCCGATCACAAATAGGATAAGATTTTACAAATTTCATTATCTCCTCATTTTAACCATACAAACAAGGAGTCATTCACCATTGTTTGATGTCTGTCTAAGCAGGCATTTGTTGCAAATCATTCATACCATTCATGCTATCTTTGTACTTTCTCATTGGAACCCTTTAGGGTATCCTTGTTCCAAGTTGTTTGGTCTACACTGATTTCTACTGCAATGAATTCTCATCATAGTCATTAAACAGTTTGGGTTCTCCTTTACTTCTTAATAATTGCATAAATATTTCTTTTAAAAAAGAGAATTTAGTTATTTTCAAGAATTAGAGGGCCCAGAAAATACTTAATGGGATGCTTCAAATACAACTTACAGCCGAATCTAATCTTCTGCTAATACACCACATTGATTGGTGGGGATAGGACATTATCTTCCTTGCCAAGTCCTATCTGAGAAATAAGGCACACATTTGTTCAATTCCTCAGTACCCGAACTTATCCATGGTTTTATCACTACCACCTTCACAGTTTTGTTCCGAGAGGACTAGGGTGTTGGGATTGTTCGAAGCCTCACTTCAGAACTAAAGTCTTCAGATTTATTTCTGATTTTATTCCTTTCTCAGCCCACAGGAGAGAAAAAGAAAATCAACAAGACAAGAGGTTAGGCAAGTATTCTACCAAAACTGCTATTTATAGGAGGTCCTTGACATTGGAATCTAGAAAGCCACAATATGGCTTGATTTTTGTTTGCTTGCTTCTGGCTTCGCTTTGAGTTATGCTCTAACCTCTCTGCAGATTGTGGGCCAAGTTATAGTTGGAATGGTTGAAGACAGCAGAATATATAAAGGGAGTAGTAAAAGATAACACAGACAAGAAAATACATATATCTACATTAGTTAATGCTGCAAAACTTTATCTTACCTTATAATCCTTGAATTAAATATACTTTTTTATATTTATAGCTACTCATAATACATTTCCCACCTTCACAGTAACTCTTTGAGAAACTCGAGACATGATCAAGTTGTTACATTTTATCTACAAGAAAAATTTGTTATTGAAATTTGAGTGATTCCATTACATTCATTTAGCTAGTTTGTGCCCCTGAGAACAAATACCATTGTTATTCCAATATTCCAAACTTCAAGAAAAATTACAAAATTAGCATTAACATGGCCGGGCGCGGTGTCTCGTGCCTGTAATCCCAGCACTTTGGGAGGCCGAGGCTGGTGGATCACGCGGCCAGGAGATAGAGACCATCCTGGCTAACACGGTGAAACCCCGTCTCTACTTAAAAATACAAAAAATTAGCGGGGTGTGGTGGCGGGCGCCTGTAGTCCCAGCTACTCAAGAGGCTGAGGCAGGAGAATGGCGTGAACCCGGGAGGCGGAGCTTGCAGTGAGCCAAGATCCTGCCACTGCACTCCAGCCTGGGCGACGGAGTGAGACTCCGTATCAAAAAATAAAAAATAAAAAATGAATAAAAAAACAAAAATTAGCATTAACACTAATTGATAGTCAACTAAATAGTTAAATCCATAATCATAAATAATTACTTGTATAATTGCCACTAAATACCAATTGTATGTTCATATCTCATTATATCTAGAAAAAAAGATAGTTTTTTAAAATTAGAAACATTATTTTGAACATCAAGATATAGTTTTCTGATTCAATTGAAAATTTTTTAATCCAAGTTTTCTACTTAATAGAATTCCAACTATTACAAAATAAAATTTAATCATTAAAATTTTCTCTATGATACTTTTTATTGCTCAAATTGTTCATTTTTACTTTCATTTATATTTGGGTATATAGATAACTCTTCATGTTAGAAAAATTATGTAAGATTTTACCTACTTAAAGTTTTACTGTGCTGCAGACATTAAAACTGACATCAATTTTAGCAAAATTCAACTATAATTTTTTTCACATTAACTTCAATCAATTTAGAGTTAGTGGTTTAGAATTTAATAATGATAATATTGGAGCAATCACTATAGGAAGCCATCAAATTGTCCTTGAAAAAACTTATGTTGCAGTTATTTTGGCATGTTATCTCAGTAAGGCTCCCCATATTCATTCTTCCCAAACAGGTAGATTGATTGGATATGTAAGTGAATCATTAATGACAAGTAGCTTAATTAGCATACAGAAAAAAATTTAACATATTTTGAGCACATATACATGGCTCTTATTTGACGGTACTACAGATTACTTGTACCATGCTTTTACTGTATTCAGAATTATTATACGACTCTCTTCTGATACCACTATATTTGTTTATGCCCTCCATTTTTTGAATAAACAATTCATATGCTCCTTTAATGTGTCAATAAAATGAATACAATTGGACAAACTTCACTATTTTCATCTCTCAAAACAAAACCTTGTTATAAAAAATAAAAATTTAAATCTTTTCTTGTGTACAAATAAGGCTATAAGATTGTATCAGCATTTGGTGAGCCAGAATATATATACTTTTTAGATAATATGTTACCATTCCATAGCCCTACCTAAAAAGCATGTATGTAAAAGTCAAAGTACACAAAGGCAATTGATGTTTTAGTCAATTGCATTCCTATATGCCAGTAATGAACAAGTAAAATTTAAATTAAAAAATTATTAGCTCAGAGAAATTATATTGCCTACTTTTAAGAACTATCATAAAGCTGTAGTAATCAACACAGTGTAGTAATGGTAAATGATAGACATAGATCAATGAAATGGAATAGATAGCACAAAAATAAACCCGTACAAATACAGTCAAATGATTATTCACAAAGATGCAAAGTTGTCTCAAGTAGAGAATAAGTCTTTTCTCAATAAATTCAACAAATAGTGCTAGAACAATTGTACATTTCCAAACGTCACCAAAAAAAGGAAAATGGATCTTAACAAAATGAATCTACAATTTTATCTGAAATGATTTTAGATTCATTATGGAAACTTTACATTTATTTTGCTAAGAGAAAGATGTCAGACCCAAAGGGTGACATGTTACAAGAATTAATTCATATGATATTATTGAAAGAGTAAAATTATATAAATAGGAATCAAATCATTAGTTACCAGAGAGAACTGGAAAGTAGTTGACTAAGAGGACACACACACTAATTTTGGGGATAATGAAACTATTCTCTAACGGTTCTGAGGTGGTGAACGTTTATGAGTGTGGAAAAATCTGTAGAACTGTACATTATAAAGCAGGAACTTCAATGTATACAACTTACATACATACAGACACACACTTGCACACACGTCCACACACAACCAGAGGTTCAAAGATCTCAGCGAAGAATGCAGACTTTCAGACTTTAGACAAAAGCATCTAATTCTATCACAAATAACTTCACTGAAGGGGTGAGTAAAAACAGGAACTGATTTAAGTACTTTTGAATTATGATATTTTCACTGCAAACTGTACAATTAAAGACAAAACAAGCTGTAAATAAATGCTATATTCTGCTTGCTAAAAATATTTCTCAAATTGGTATGGGTTAATAATTCTGAAATTCCTTTCCATGTATACTGGGGTTGAACAAACAAGTAAATAAATGGTGGATGGCGAATAGCTAGAGCCAAGTTTCTCACTGTTGGACAGTGAAGTTACAAAGAAGAAAGGGGAAGACTGGAATAAATTGTATTCTATTGAATTAGCATTGGAGATATCAGTAGGGGTTATTTTTAGCTTAAAACTACATACATACCTATACAATTTATATATATATGGACAGAGAAATAATTGTAAATATATAATTATACATAAATTTGAATAGATTTATACAGCTTAGAATATATATTATATTATTATATTTTATATTTATGAATATTATAAAATATATAGATATGTGTATTTTTATAATATATATTATATTAGGATACATATATATATAGAGAGAGAGAGAGGCAGAGAGACAGAGAGAGAGAGAGGGAGACAGAGCTGGCACCACTAAAAGTGGTGACATCCTAGTAGCTACAATCACCAGTACTTGTCTTCTAATGCTATTTTCCAATAAACAAAACAAAAACTTCTTGAAGGAATGGTAATTTTTAGGATTAGGACAGGGCAACTACAAAATGAGCTTTGAGTCTCTTTGATTATATTTCACAAAAATGATTATTTAAATGTGTTCAGGATTTGAATTCATACTCTAAAAACATTTTCAGAGTGATTAATAAGACATCTGAAGTACATTAATTATTTCTTTAGATACTAGTACAGTTGACAGCTTTGAACTGATTCATTGTTTGGTTGGTTGTCTTTATTCTGATAATGAAGAGTTTCAGCATCACCACCATAATATTGCCCACAGGAGCATTAACTATACAGATAATAGTTCATTCAGCTATTTTTCTCTTACGTATTAGATATCACCTTATATTATGTCTTAGGGAATATTGTTATGACTCTGTAAACTTGGCAAAAATGTCTTTTATTTGCTTTCAGAACATCTATACTTCATGTAACTGATCACTTTGTACTCTCATTAATACGTCTCCTTCAACAGACTATAAATTTTGCTACATGAAAACAATTCATGTCTGTCAATAGATTCCTAGTGAGCAGCTCAGTTCTGGGTACATAACTTACATCACAAATATATTTTAATGAATTAATGCTTAATAGTTCAAACATGCATGTGTTTATATCCAGAATGTAGCACTAATCATTCTGACTGCCTTAGATGTCAAACCAATTAATTGCTCAAATGATTAGAAATTAGCAAATCGAATTTAAAACTGTATTAATGGAAAATATTTTAAAACTACAAAATGGTTATCTAAACATCCTTTAGAACATTTCTATAAATAGTGCTCCATATGGTATTCAATTAGAATATCTTCCCCTCTGAGAACACAAGGCGCATTCTAGCAACAAGGTCCCTTTCTGTGCTATTAAATGAGGGACATGACACTCTTCTTGTGAAATACCCAGCTCCCTTCATTCTCTCTTACGTTAGTAATTCAGAGCAAACTATTTTCTTTTTACTTAAAAAATATTTCCCAAGTGCTTTAGAAAATGCAATGTATTCCTCCCATTGAATTTATTAGATTTATTAGATACAGATTTATTACACCTTTAGTAATCAAAAGGAAACAAAGAGAAAGGTACAAGACCATATAAGGAATGGAAAGAAGTCTCAAAATTGGTGAGCACATAACTGTTGACAATTTATATATAGCTGTTTTTAGTAAGTTTGACTCACAAATACATCTTCAGGTGCGGTAAGCAAAAACCAGAAATGCATATTTGGAACTTTAGAAAGACAGTGGAGCTTCAGAAATAATTCCAAGAATTATTACTATTAATAATATCTGCAACAATAATGACAGTTAATATCCTCTACAAATGCACTATGTATACCAGAAACTGTGCAATTAACATTACCTAGAGAATGTTATTTATTGAGCATAACTTTTTTGAGTTACACGTAATTGCACTGATTTTACAGTTTAACAAGGAAGAGAATCCCTGAAAAGAAAACATGGAGGCTAGGAAAAGAACTTTGGGAATCTCAATGACTTTAAACAATCTAAGCCTCTCAGATGTGATGAGTAAAGATTCATGAAGATTTGTCTAAAGCATCATATGGTACCAGGAATTAAAGAGGGTGTGAGGATGTGGAAAAGAAAGTATTTAAGACTGTGTCAGGAATTTATGAGTGTGGTTTTAAAGGGAATCAGAGGTAAGAAAATGTTGAAACTGTGAAAAACAGAAGGTGCCTGTCTTAACTCATCTCAGGATCTGACCCAAAGTAGATTCTCAGCTATGATTTGTTAAATGAAAACCTATATGAAATGTATTCAGAAAGATCCCTGGGGAGAATTAAAAGAAAAGATTTAAAAAAAATAGGTGAGAAGGCTAACCTTGGAAATATGTAGATGCGTTTTTTTTTCTATAACTTACATTTTAAAAAATCTGCTAAGAGCTAGTAAAAATAGCCACTTGGAGAGGAAAAAGTAAAACGAAAATTGAGGAAGTTCATTATTGACTGGTCTTGCATCTTGGGAAAGTAGGTGGCTAAGCCTGAGAGGGTGAGAGCTGTAACAATGGGAGGAGGGCTTGACAAGAGTGAAGGATTTGCCTTGGTACAGTGGCACTCTGGAAAATGGAATAGGCAGGCAATAAGAGATAAAATATTCATGAAAATTACATGGCATACGGGAATATCTTAAACAAATTAGACACCAGAAATTAGCAGGTGCACTAGAGGAGATTGAAAAAATACTAGATGAACAGCTGGGGCTAAGTCTGTGTGCACCAGAAAATAGGCTGGAGAATATTTTCCTAAAATATCATCATAGCTAACTGGATTAAAATCACCTGAGGGGCTTGTTAAAAATGAAAATTCTTAGGCCACAAGGCAGTCTTTCTGAATCAGAAGCTCTGCAGGTGGGCCCTACAATCTGTAATTTAACAACTCCGGGAGTCAAATTTATGCACATTAAAGTGATATACTACATTAGGAGAAAAGAGAGCATGAGAGAGCACACGGGAGGGAGGGATAGAGAAAGAGAGTGAGAGTATGTGTGTGACAGAGAGAAAGAAGACATTGTAAAGGCACAGGTGTTTTTCTATGGCTAAAATGAGGTAGGAAGTTTACCATAAAGTGGGATGTAGAAAAGATTCTACCTGTGTTAACCATTTGGATGATTAGGAGACACAGTTTTGATATAGCTGAACAACTGAAACTTAATTACTCTGGCTTAGTTAGAAATACAAGTCTAATTCTGTCATAGGTAGGGGGACATACAGTTATCAGAACGGTTGTGTTAATGGCAGATTTTTAGAAACTTCTTCTTTCATAGAGACCTGAAACTTCTTGTCCCTCTATATAAATAATTTATTTCTTATGGAAATAAAATTCTTAATAATTGTTACTGTTCTATTTCTTAAAGAAGCATCACAGACATCACTTCTTTAATCTGTGTGTTTCCCCATGTTTTCACTTATGGAGTGATAAATAAGTTTACATATTTGAATATACATATTTCTATATTTCCTTCCTTTGTTCTTTGGTTCAGAAGCCTGTAACTTCATTATATTAAATATATATTTCCATATCTATTTAGTAAAAGCTTGGTATTTTTGTTACACCTCGGAATGTATTCATTGGCAGTGTTAATGGCATTAATCAATGGGCTGAGTAAAACCCATTATCAGGAAAGAATCACTTTCCCCATCAGCCTCAGGAAAGTTTGTTCATAGAGTTGAGGGCATTCCCTATAATTCTCAGGGAATATGGCTTATAATTTCCTACAGAGGGTTATCTGTAGACTGTGACATTTTGTATTCCTTTACCCTCATCATTTGTCTATCTCCAAAACAAGTGAGTCGTGCAAACTCAGGACCCAGAGATACTGACACAAATGCTGCTCTTCATATGAAATCATAAGGTTAAAATAAACACAAATAAAATATTTATGTTGTTGGACATTGATTTTAACATAGAAAAAATGACATGGAGAACACTTCAATTGATCCCTGTCTCTTATTTTATTATTTTACTTTCTTTTTTTGTGTGTGATGGAGTGTAGCTCTGTCACCCAGCCTGGTGTGCAGTGGTGTGATCTCGGCTTACTGCAACCTCCACCTCCCAGGTTCAAGGGATTCTCCTGCCTCAGCCTCCCAAGTAGCTGGGACCGCAGGTGCCTGCCACCATGTCTGGCTAGTTTTTGTATTTTTAGTAGAGATGGGGTTTCGCCATGTTCGCTGGACTGGTTTTGAACTCCTGACCTCAGGTGATCCGCCCACCTTGGCCTCCCAAAGTACTGGGATTACAGGCGTGAGCCAGTACACTTGGCTCCTCTCTTCTAATTTTCTGAAATTTCCTGTTCACTGAAATTAAGAGTTGAATTGTAAGCAGATTTGAATACGGGAATTACCACTCAGAATTTATGTAGACCACAAAACAAAGTGACATTAAATATTAAATAGTAACACCAGTAATTCACTGTAGTTTAAATCAATATAATTAGATAGAATATAGGCTTTTGGAACTAGTAGAAATAATAATAAGTCAAACAATAAAGCAGTGTCATAAGTATTTTTTAATATGGTACTTTAATCCTCAAATTCAGCCTAAGAGGGGTTTTACATTGTTTGCACTTAGAATCAGTAGGAGGAGACCAATGATTAAAAGTCTCCTCTCCTTGTCTGAGGAGAAAAACATAGTGCCTTTAGTGGGCATAGTATTTAACCAGGAGGGGCTGGGAGAGAGAAAGCACATGGTAGCGTGGGCAGACCTGTGATGTCTACTTCAAAGTCGAAAGGAATCTGTACTACATAACACAAATTCAAACCCTTAATAATTATAGAGTTATACTGATGTACATACATGTTATTATATATATACCCACATGTATATATGCATATGTACAATTATAATCAGTATATCATTTTTACTTTGACAAGTTTCATTCAAAATTAAAAAGAAAAATTTATAATTAGATTATTTAAATTCAATTATTTAAAAGACTTCTTGTGATACTCTTTCTCAATCAGTAACATTAGGTAACAGTAAAAACAATAGAGCCATATAAGCTGGTCTGTTTATTCCTCTCTGCTTGTAAAATATTTGGTAGCTTTTAATGTCAATTACCAATTGTATCTACTAAACAGGAGCTAGGTGACTAGCACCATGGAAAGCAAATAAGACAAAAACAAATACAACAGTGTGAAATATTTTCTAAAAACATGTTTTTCCTGTTATTCTGATGAAATTAATTGTTAAAAGAAGACATTAGTATTTTCTTTGTCATTTTTAAGTCAACCATTTCATAATTCAATACTGCAGAAGTTTCCATTGTCAAAGATTTATTCAGATATTCAGATGATTAGAGACTTTAGTTCTTCAACGATTTCACTGCATTTTCGTATACTGAATTAATAACATAACTGTCTTTTTATAAACAGATCTAGCAGCTTAGTGTGAACTAACAGAATTTCAATTTAAGTTGTCCAGTATTGTTACTGCTTATAATAATTTTTTAAGAATATTAGTTTTGTGTCAGGTTGTGAGCTAGATACAGAATGTGCATTTAACCCTCACAACAATTTCATCAGGTGGCCTTAAGTCTTTCTCTATTGCACAGATGTGGCATCAGAGGCACAGAAATATTAGTAATAATTGAGAATTCATACAACTTGTTTAGAAACATAGATCTACATACCTTAGAGAACAGTTTTGGCTTTTTTAAAGCCCACATTCTATAATACAGCATAATCCAGAAAATTTGATGGAAATAGTAAATTGGAGCTTGATTAAGAAAGTAAGCAAGAGATAAGGAATTGTAAGCAGCTCACTCATTAAGTTACATAGAATTGAAAATGCATGGAAATTCATCAGGGATACATTCCTGATAATCACTGCCATTTAGATGCCAAGAGGAAGAAAAACAATTAGATATTCATAATGATAATGAGAAGCACTATTAGTTTTATGTATTGAATTAAGTCAATCAACCAGTGGAATATTACTAGAATTTATGTAATTATACTATTTTAAAAATGCAGATTAATAATTTACTATTCAATAATTATAGCTCGCTGATAGTTATTATGCTCAATACACAAAAGAAACAAGGTAAAAATCTAACCAATATATTCTAGCAAATGTCACAAATAAAAATATATAAATGTTAGAACATGAGATGGTTTTAAAATTAATCACCTTTTAAAAATTTTCTGAAATTTAAATTTAAAGAAATAATAGCTAAACTTTTTTTTAGTATTTTTCATTGCATCAGATTATTATACAAAAGTAGCTGTTTATTTATTTTCAATTGCAAATCAGGGTGTAAATCCTCTTAAAGACAAAAAATTATCTCTCTTTATATTATATCCAGACTCAAATATTAACATGATCGCTAGTGTTACCTTTTTCCTCAAATAAAAACTAAGATTATCTGATTGGTTTATGGAAAAGGGAGCAATTGAAGTAAAACTCCTCAATTGACTTCAGTATTCACAATTCTGAAAACAGCCAGTGGATCAGGACAGAAATGGAGATACATTACACAATGTAAAAGCATTCTTTGGTTAAAAATATACATATCCTATCATCTGTATTGTGCTAGGTTTGATGGCAGCAGGATTTCTGACCACTGAAATTTAGGTAAAGCACACATTCACTCATTTAACCTGCATCTGTTGCTCAGCTAGAGTGAGTTACACGCTATGGTAGATATTAGTTATATATTCTGAACATAAAACCAGTTGTTCCTGTCAATATGAAGCTTTTAGGAGTAACTTCTATATCGTTTATTTCCCTCATTTTTCATTCACTTGAAAAAAATATTCTTACTGTATTCCTAAGTCACAAGAAAATATTGAATGTATTGAAAGTAATGATGTTACACAATAAAGCCTACTGCGAAGTATGAAATCAAAAGTGCTAACAAAGTTATTAAAGAAACTACAAAACAATATTGAGAGGTGACAGCATGCTGGCAGCCCTTGCTTGCTCTCAGCACCTCCTTGGCTTCGGCGCTCACTCTGGCTGCGCTTGAGGAGACCTTCAGCCCAAGGCTGCGCTATGGGACACCCTCTCTGGGCTGGCCGAGGTCACAGCCGGCTCCCTCTGCTTGCAGGGAGGTGTGGAGGGAGAGGCGTGGGCGGGAACTGGGGCTGAGCGCTGTGCTCGTGGGCCAGCACAAGTTCCAGGTGGGCATGGGCTTGGTGGGCCCTGCACTTGGAGCGGTGGGCTACTGTACGCCCCGGGCGCTGAGGGGCTTAGCACCGGGGCCAGCAGCTCTCCACTGGGGCCTTGGAGAACCTTTATGTCTAGCTCAAGGATTGTAAATACACCAATCAGCACTCTGTGTCTAGCTCAAGGTTTGTAAACACACCAATCAGCATTCTGTATCTAGCTAATCTAGTGGGGACTTGGAGAATCTTTATGTCTAGCTAAGGGATTGTAAATACACCAATCAGCACTCTGTGTCTAGCTCAAGGTTTGTAAATACACCAATCAGCACCCTGTGTCTAGCTCAAGGTTTGTAAATGCACCAATCAGTGCTCTGTGTCTAGCTAATCTAGTGGGGACTTGCAGAACTTTTGTGTCTAGCTCAGGGATTGTATATGCACCAATCAGCACCCTGTCAAAATGGACCAATCAGCTCTCAGTAAAACAGAACAATTAGCTCTCTGTAAAATGGACCAATCAGCAAGATGTGGGTGGGGTCCGATAAAGGAATAAAAGCAGGCTGCCCCAGCCAGCAGTGGCAACCCACTTGAGTGCCGTTCCACAGTGTGGAAGCTGTGTTCTTTTGCTCTTTGCAATAAATCTTGCTGCTGCTCACTCTTTGGGTCAGCACTGCCTTGTGAGCTGTAGCACTCACCGCGAAGGTTTGCAGCTTCACTCCTGAGGCCAGCGAGACCAGGAACCCACAGGGATGAATGAATAACTCCAGACGTGAGGCCTTGAGAGCTGTAACACTCACGTGAAGGTCTGTAGCTTCACTTCTGAAGCCAGCGGAGACCGTGAACCCACCAGAAGGAAGAAACTCCCAACATGTGCAAACATCAGAAGGAACAAAGTCCGGACACATCACCTTTAAGAACTGTGACATTCACTGTGAGTGTCCGTGGCTTCATTCTTCAAGTCGGTGAGACCAAGAACCCACCAATTCCGGGCACAATATGATTAAAATACTGATGAGATAAAACATTTAACATTACTTTTGAAGATAAAATTTATACGTGAATAAACAAAAATTAGAGCAAAGAAAGCCCAAGGCTGAATGTGAAAATTGTGCCACCTAAATGCGAAAATACAGACAGTAAATGATAGCTAAGAAAATTTGTAAAATAGTAGACCTTGCCAAGTGGCAACTGGTTGTCTATCAAAACTGGCACATTTATAACAGTAAAATAATAACATAGTACTAATTCATAGTACTTATTCAATCATTGGCGCTATTGTCATATTTATTCTAACCTATCCCTAACTACAGAAACAAATGAAATATTTAGTTTGTTTTAAAGGTAGTGTAGAGAAAAAAGATATTCAATGATGAATGATTCCATTTTGAATTAAAAAAATCTGAAATATAGTGAATTCAGTTTTTAAAAAATGAGTGCTTCATCATATCACTCTCTAAATTTTATAGGTGTTTTTGTCTCTCTGGGAATCTCCCAGTATGTTTAAGCTCCTTTAAAGGGAAATATTTTTACAAGTGTAGCATACTTACTACACAGTAACTCTCATAATTCAATGTACAATGTGAAGTTTAAGACGACCCTAAACATTTCTATTAACACAAATCACATAAATACATTAAAAATCCACTTTTTTCTCAGACATATGTTGAATATGCATATTTGTAAATCGTCATGGATATGAAATTGAATTGCATTAGATAATACAATCTCACGTGTACTCACTATGCAAGATTTGTTCAGTTTTATGTAAATAAACTAGCTGATAATTAAAATTTAATGTACATTTCTATTCCTAGGACAGATCGGCATTTAGTGGACTCCTATTAATTGGCTTTTTATGTGTTTCTTTTTGTACCACCCCATTAAATAGGCTACAATTTGAAGGTAAAGATCAGAGTTAACATTATTCACTGTTGTTTCCCCAGCACATAGCAATTTTCTTGGTATACAATAGATATTACAGGAATAGTTATAAATTCAATTGATTTATTAATCTCTTAAAATATTTTTAAATTCTGAAAGTGTCATATCAAGGACATACATTGATTAATTAATTTTGAAATTGATTATTTAAGATACATACAGTAAACTTCAAGGTTGTTGCATAAGAAGAGCTATGTTCCTTTTAGAATAGTGTGGCCAAATTTGATATTTCACTAATTCCTAAAGGAAGTTAAGTTTATGCGTCTGGATCGAAACTTATTACCTCTGACATACTGTCTGGCAAAAAAGTTAAAGTTTAGCATTGAAGAGGATAAAAATCTACTCTTGAAGTATCATTCCCCGTATCATACTACCAGAAGTAAAAAATCAGAAGCAGGAGGAAGGCATTTGGCTTTGAGAAAGAAAAATATAACGATTTGATCCTGAACTCCAATTGTACCGTAAAGCAAGATGAATAGTTTCCATCTAACTGAAGTAGCTCCCTTCTTTCCAGAAGCCGAAGGAGGTAAGAGGTGGCCTTCAGGCTTCACCCTCTTAAGCGAGTGCTTGACTGGCTCCCGCGTTGGGACTCTTTTTTCCCTTACCCATATCTAGCATTCATACCATTTATAAACTCTCTTTTCTCACAGTGATAAGCCAGGCTAGGGAGAACACTCTTCGAAGCTTCTCCTTCTTCTAGACGTAAGTGTTTTATCTTTTACATTGATATGGCATATAGAGGCAATCCCCATACCTTACAAATATACTTTTCATCATTGATTACAAAGTACATTAACCAAGCAAGTGAGTATGTTTGGAATCAGGGATAGGATGGGTCAGCATCAATTCAACCGAGTTCAGTTCTACATTTTTCAGTGATATCTATGGAAAGCTGCAGAAATAACCCATATCATGATATAATTTTTCATTGAGGCCTAGTTCCTCCCATAAGGGTGTTTAATGTAAAATGAAGTGAACTTTCAGTGTTCTGAGGGTATTATTGGGGCTGCCATCAAGGAGTTCATTTTGTTATCATTTTGAAATATATACCCATTCCCTTAAGTTTATCTTTATTCATAACTGAGATGAAAATCTGCCTAAAACATTATAAGTATCTGATAGATTTTAAAAAGATAATTATTAGATCACTAATCTGGTATTCTTGGAGAAGTCTGTGAGTTTCCACCAAAAATTGCTGAGGGATCCTTTAAGTAAACGCCTCCACCATGAGAATATATTGCCAATATTAACACAGTCTATTTTCTTTGAGTTTTGAAATTTACATAGCCAGTAACAAAGCTAACTTAATTTGACATTTGCAAATGATGTGAAGTGGGAATTTACAGAAGAGAAAAAAAGAATGACCAGAAAACATACTAAAATCTTTACCTTACTAGGCAATGTCATAAGAAAGTATCACTCAACATCCATTACAAAGATAAGAATATTAGATGAGATTAGTATTGGGATGCAAAGACACAGAAGCACTTACACTGTTGGGAATGCAACCTGTCCTACCAGCTCTAGTGAGAAGTTTGTTGATATCAACAGAATTCAAGATTCATATACCCTATAGATTTCCTTTACCTATAGTAAGTCTCACAAATGTGAACTATATAATGATAATTGAACAATGTATGAATTACCCTGAAAAACAAAATGAGTTGACTTTCTTATTGGTTGTTTTATTTCTCTTTAGCACAGAAGTTGAAAGAGGAAAAGTATTGAAATCCTCAGAAAAGCGCGATGAAAGCTAGCTTATATATTGCTTATTATTTTGTGTTGTTTTAGAAGCAGATATTTAACATTCCCATTTATGTTACTTGATCTACCATAGTATAAACATAATTTTGTTCATCTAAGCCATTAATAAATTTTTCAACAAATAATGGCTGTGTATGTGTGTGTGCACACACTTGTTTCAGGATATAGATGCAAAGAAAGGGCTTAGGTTTATACTGAAACGTGCAGAGAAGAAGAGGGACAGAGTATGTGGGGGAGGAGAGGATTCATGAGGATTCACTGCTCAGAAGGAGCAGTGGCTGAGTCAGAGATAACCATGCAAGTATAAGACACTCGGGAATTCTTTCAACACACCATAGCTTGATGCAAGACATCGATTTTACAATTTAGCCAAACATATTCATATCAGGGATAGGTTGACTTTAGTCGCCGCTTTGGTTACATACGCAAATCATTTTTCAAGTAACATTTTATTGTGAGAAACTAATTTGTTCATAAAAACTCCATGCCACATATGCTCATAAATCAACATTTATTTCCTGCCAAAATATAATGCATTTTGTTATATGTTGTGTAAACCCATGCTCAAGGCTCAAAACCAATTTTGAAAACACCAAACAACAAAAGCCAATATTTTATTTATAAGTGTTATACAGGGAACTGCATATAATAAAGCAAGGCATTGAAACAAGGTCTTCTACTCCTATGGGTCCATTTTTCACCTCTGCGAAATCACTAGATAGTAAACTCTATTGATATGAAACCAAAAATTATTCCCTTGGTGGAAAATCTTCCCAGTGGGAGGAAGGTGAATGTGTTTCTGCTGAGGACTCCACAGCATTAAATACAAATAGCTTTGTGCTCCTTGGTTGGCAAGATAGTAAGGAAATATTTTAGAAAGTGACAAGAAAGATACTGTGTAGAGATATGTTGCTAAGTGTTTAAATTGGGATCTGTATTTAATATAGAACATATTTTTTTTTTTTAAGTTATTCTTTTTAGAGACAGGGTCTCCCTGTGTTGCCCAGACTGGTTTCAAACTCCTGGTCTCAAGCAATCCTCCCATCTCAGCCTTCCTAGTAGCTGAGATTATAGGTGCAAGCCACCACACCTGGCTGGAA
This sequence comes from Homo sapiens, assembly GCF_000001405.40. Lineage (NCBI taxonomy): Eukaryota > Metazoa > Chordata > Mammalia > Primates > Hominidae > Homo > Homo sapiens. Next base: position 62,116 of record NW_021159995.1, read on the forward strand.
CATCTTTTTGATGGATGCCTTTCACATTTGTGGGGGGTTATCCAAACCAATAAAGGTGTATTTGAATGATCAGTGAGGTTACGACTGATGACAAATAAATTAGAGTAGTGTGTGCAAGAAAAGGACTTAAGCCCAGGTTTTAAATATATCCAGAGAAGAAGTTGAAATATTCTCATACTGATGATACAAAGCCATTGAATGAATACATTCATGAATTGACAGATATAGGGATAGAGATCATTGCTTTTCATATGAGTAGAATAAATGACACATGCTTTCTTTAGGACCTTAATCATCACTTTTTTCAATAGCAATATTTTATCAATGTTATATAAGAAGCGATAACATGATGAAAGGTAGAGGTTACAATTTGGGTGAAAAGGCAGATAATTAACTTGTAAAAATCTCTTTGTGAGCAGCCTTTGTGCTTCATTGTTCTCTCAGTTTGAGAAATATTTAACAGGTGCAAGTTCTACCATAAGTTGTATAGCTTGACCTCCTCAGAAAATTTCTTATTTTTCCAGTATGATCCTCTGTAAACTGACAGCTTTCTGTGATGAAATAAAATAATAGTTATATTTATTTAATAAAAAAGTGACAAGTTGTGAGTATTTAGTGGCTATACTTTTTGCGTACTCTATACAGCCTCAGAGACAGGTACTCCCAAAGCATCCTAATTCAGGTGTTAATACTGCTGCTTGTTTATATTGCTAGAGGGAAAAGCTAAATTTTTGCATTTTGGACCACCTGAAACCAGTGAAAGGGGAATGCATACTTGAGCGTTGTCTGTGAAGGTGCTTAAATTTAGTAATATAAATATAAAATAAAACTACGTAAAAATTAATAAAGACAAGCACCAGCAACAATAAGGATGTCTTGTTTATTTAAAATGTACAATTTCTCTAGGTAAAAATGAAAAAGCTGGGCACAGTCGCTCATGCCTATAATCCCAGCACTTTGGGAGGCCGAGGCAGGTGGGTCACCTGAGGTCAGGAGTTCAAGACCAGCCTGACCAACATGGTAAAACCCCATCTGTACTAAAAATACAAAAAAAATTAACCGGGCTTGGTGGCAGGTGCCTGTAATCCCAGCTATTTGGGAGGCTGAGGCAGGAGAATCACTTGAACCCAGGAGGCGGAGGCTGCAGTGAGCCAAGATCACACTATTGCACTCCAGCCTGGAGATAAGAGCAAAACTCTGTCTTAAAACAAACAAACAAACAAAAATGCTTTTTATTTAAAGCTCATGATGAGATGAGCATTACAAGATAATATTTATGTCTTAAGGTAAGGAAACAACAAATTTTTTATTCATCAGAAGTGTATGCTATCCTAAAGTTTCCTTTAATAAATATATTAACAAAAAATTTTTTATTGTACTTCTATATACCAACCTGTTTGGTAAATATATAGGAAAACTTCAGAGGACTATATTCACATCAAGCCTAAAACCTAAAGTTCATATTAATTCAGACAATCTTTTTCTCATGTAAAATGATACAATCATTCTACCTAGCTCTCATAATGAATACAGTAGTTCCAATTAAATCAGAAATGGAGTAAACTTGGAGCTAAATGAATCATAAATCAATAAGTACCTCAGCCTGCTGCCTCATGGTTTATTGATTCAGAAGCTGTTTATCCCACACTCATTGTGCTTGAGTGCAATTATCATTTAATTACATTTTCTGTATGTACCAAATTGTATTTTACATGTCTTCCTAGACCAAACAATTTCAAACTTATATCTACTCACTAGCCATGGGTTTTGATTATCCTTTCTTGTTCAGTATGCTTGTCCTGATTTCTCCTTGTACATAAGACACATCTCACAATAGGACCTCATTAAGGCATATTTAACAAACTGTCCCTACTTATAATCATGTTTATTGTTCTCATTCTTTTTACACCAAGATTGATTTGAAACGTAACTAATGAGGTGTGTTAGAGAAAATATAGCATAGTTTGAATCACATAAAAGTAGTGAATTTTTTGAATCTAACTCATAAAAATGCACTTTTATTAAACCTATCAAATGCTCTAGAACTATAATATGATTATCAATTGACTTGATATGGATCATGTAAGACATTCCTTTTTAAAAATAGTTGGGCACTAAATATTCTTAATTTTATAGTATTTTGTATTAAAAATGTAATATTTAATAAGCAACCCAGAGATACAGGTAATTTTTTACTTTTATAATCTGAAGCACAAAGTAAATTTTTAATTTTTTTCTAACTAAAAGTATGTATAGATTGGGCAAGTGTCTCATACCTGAAATCTTGGCACTTTGGGAGGTCAAGGTGGGAGAATCTTTTGAGGCCAGGAGTTCAAGACCAGCCTGAGCAACATAATGAGACCCTGTCACTACAATAAAATACAAAATAAAAAATTATCTGGGCATGTTGAGATGCACCTGTGTTTCCTGGTACTCAGAAGGCTGAGGCAGGAGGATCACTTGAGCTCAGGAGTTTGAAACTTCAGTGAGCCATAATTGTGCCACTGCACTCCAGCCTGAGTAACAGAGTTAGACCCTGTCAAAAAACAAAGTTTATAAACTAAAAACTCATGAAATAATGTCCCAGATGGAGCTCTCTAAAACATCTTTAAGAAACAATAACATATGGCACATGATAGCTTAAAAAAATTACCCTGAGAGAAGATACAAACTACACCTGATCTTGCAAAGTAGGAACAGATTTCAAGGATAGATCAGATATGTAGCATCATTTATATTATTCTTTGAATATATAATCCATGTTATTTTTATTTATATTGTGAGACCAAGGTCAACACTGAGACCTGTCACCAGAAGTTAGATCTGTTTCATATAAGACAAAAAGCACGAAGTTTGCCATTGGCTCAATAAAACAGCTTCATTGACAGAGAAAGCCATGTGAAAGAATTATTATTATTATTATTATTATTATTATTATTATTATTATTTTGAGATGGAGTCTTGCTCTGTCGCCCAGCCTGGAGTGCAGTGGCACGATCTTCACTCACTGCAAGCTCCGCCTCCCAAGTTCAAGCCATTCTCCTGCCTCAACCTCCTGAGTAGCTGGAATTACAGGCACCTGCCACCACACCCGGCTAATTTTTTGTATTTTTAGTAAAGATGGCGTTTCACCATGTTAGCCAGGATGGTCTCCATCTCCTGACCTCGTGATCAACCCACCTTGGCCTCCCAAAGTGCTGGGATTACAGGTGTGAGCCACCACGCCCGGCTAAGAATTATTTATCTGTGATCCTAAATCCCAAAGTTAGAGTCTATTTTTAGATTTCAGAAAATCTTAGGAAATATTTAGTTGCCAATACATTACTTGGATCAGGTACTACCACGTAGATCATGATAAGTAAGAAATATCCTGTTCATACCTCATGAACACACAAATGAAGAATTTTAACATGAATATTCTGCCATAGTCAATAGATGCTTATTTTATGAAGTAATTAATAAATGAATGAAAACACAAGAATCTGGGAATCTATCAATGAGAATAAAAATATTTTATATGGTATTTCATTGATTCTAATTTAATTACAAGGCAAGCAATACTAGGAACTGAATAAAAAACAAGTTGCCTCTTTTCTAATGATTCTTCTCACAGATTAAAATATTGGATTTTGTGTGTGTGTGTGTGTGTGTGTGTTAAGCTAATGTAGAAAGGTGTGTTTTCTCATTATTTGTGCAGCACTATTGGAACACCTTCTGCCTTCCATAACAGGACAAAACTTTAAGGCAGTATGTGAAATAAAACATGTACATAGGAGAGCGGTAACTTTCTGCTGAGCAAAAACCACATTAAACAAACATATTTCTAGATATACATAACTATAATCTACACATACATAACTATAAAGCTATTGTACATCCTACTAGATTTCCAAGCAGTAGATAATGTTTCAGAAATTAACATTGATATACATGCATTGTAAACAAGTCTAAGACATAAACTTGTCTACAAAATCAATATCACTCTTTGAGTGAATGCCAACATGTAAAGTGTCTGTCTCTATCTCAAGTATATCCAAAATTAGAGATGAGAATTAGGTAACAACTTCTCCGCCACTCCGAAATGACATGCTATACTTCTAAGCAGCACTTGCAAAGAATGTTGTTGACTCTGTTGTGTTTGTGGTAGTGGTGGTTTCTTCAATTTTAATATATTCTCTGAACCACCATATGGTGGTGCTCTATATTTCAAAAGATGTTAGCCTGGTCCTGTCATCCTATCAACAATATTTTCAACTCCTATAGCATTTTATTCAACACTATTCATGTGAAAGTCTTTGGGTAGCTGGGTAACAGCTAGAATTAGAGAAGGGGAAAAAGTTCTCTAATAAAATGGAAGATTTTACCCACTATGCTGCTTTCTGGGAAATATCACGAATATCAAAGCATACAGATGACTCTTAAAAATTCTAAAATTAGAAAATTGGTATGAATTATTGTAAGTATTTCAGAAATATATTTGATGAAGAAATATTGTTTTTTATAAAACATAAGGTCTGTAAAATAAATGTGTTTGTATCATATTTTAGCATTTTACAGATAATTTTTAGAGGAACTTTATTTCTGGGATACAAAATGTTATGTAGTTTAAAAAGCAAACTTTAAATTTTAAGATCATATGTAAAATAAATATAATTCACCCATTAACTTATTTTCTCTGTGTTTTTCATAAAACATTTCTCCATTAAGCTTTCTGAATTAGAAAAAAATGATACGCACTGGGGGAAAAGTAGTGACAAAATCATATCTTTCCATTTAACTTTTCTGATTTTATTTATCTCCATTTTAAACTTCTATATATAGTCTAGAATTATTAGTTTGGTATTATTAGCGTTGAAAGTAATGGCAAAATCCGCAATTACTTTTTCAATAACCCAATAAAATTTAAAATCCATGTAATATTAATATAGACTGTTTTTTGTGCTCTCTATTTCTAACTGTTCTTTTTTCACTGAATTGCTATTTTGCAGTAAGATAAAAGTGTTTTTTTTCTTTCTTCAAGAATAATACATTTTTGTTTTATATGAACATTCAAATTTACTCTCATCTATGTATTTGTCTTATTCTAAAAATGCTTTTCTAGAGCAATTGATGCTAAAATCAAAATACTTCATAGAAAATAGTTTCAATTGGTGTTGTGCTTGGGCCTCTGGGCTGGTCCTAGATATTCAGCTCCCCAGGGCTTACTATTCTCTTTTGGTCTGATTCATAATGTCAAAGATGAATCTCAGACACTGGAAGATCTTCAAGCAGTTTATTCTGGCTGTGCTGGCATGAGCTGGAGTGCAGGAGCAGGCTGGTGTCGTGAACAGGAGACCATCTGTAGACTATTCTCAGAGTTTGGGGCATCCTTCCCCCTTTCTTATATCTTATTTGAGGTTAGTTATCAAGTTTAAGCTATTCTTGTAACAGTAGCTTCTTTTTAAGATTTATGAGAGTTGTGTCTGTGCTGAGATGGTCTTTTCTCCTGGAAATCCCCTGGCCAGGTTGCATCATACTGCTAAGTGACACATGGTGTAGGCCCTGTGAATTGTCTGAGTGGGCCTCATGGCCATCATGAATCTTATAGCCACAATATTTTTTATAGTATACTGCACTTTGTCAATGCTAGGATTTCTCTTTCTCCTTGAAATTCTTGGGAATTACTAGTCTTTGAATGTTTTTACAAAGTGAGAACACTGTCTCTAAAACCATTATGCTGTAATTTGTTTTCCATTAAACTAAATTGACGCAGTGTTTGCTAATTATCTCCTTTTTCCTGTTCAATTGATTAGTGCAAGATTGACCTGTTTTCTATGTGGAGAGTTTCAACAGTGGTACTTTAAAAGGAGAAAAAGAAGAAAAGAATTACCTAACTCCAATATGATTTCCCCGATACCTGTATATTCCTCCTGAAATTAGTGTTTTATTCTTCAAATATTATGGTAATTACAAGAAATTCATTAGAGAAAAAATGACCTTAGTTGGTGTTTATATAGACATGTCAGTTTATTTTTGATCAGTAAAATCATTTGGAGTGGAGGTGGTCTCAAGGCAAATAATTAAGGTTAAAAAATTTTTAAAGTGAACAGAACTTGACAATGGAAAGTATCTTTCATTAATAATTGATATAGCTAGGAATTAGTCACCCAATGAGAACCCCAAAACTTGGCAAGGAAATGTGTGTGGACTTGTGGTAAAATTGAAATAAAAAAGGAAATATGGGTATATTTTAAGACAGACCTGTGGAAATTTAGAAGTCATATGAAATGACTTCAGCAAAGTTTAAAGAATTAATTACAATGGAACCATGTTAAAACTTTAATGTGCATATTTACCCCATGTGGCTTATTGGCCTATGTCCATATCACTTCATGATATAATTAAACTGAATCTCACAAATGAGGTAGCAGGGGTCAGCACAAGAGGAAAAAGCATCCAAGAGACTTGCCTGATGCATGCTCATTAGTTAGGCTGCTAATTTTTTTAACATTCATCTCCTTCCTGCTACTGCTAATCTGATATTTGCATAGGATATTTGTGGTATGCACCCATTTGTGTACAGATGGTCACTTCATTTAATAACATAGAATTATTAACATTAAAATACAGTAACTTAGGATCATCCTTGAAAATTCTAGCTGATACACTCCACATTTTATTGGACTTTTACTATTATGTTCATAAAACAGACTTCTCAGAATGTCTGATCCTGTATACCCGTAGTAGAAAATAATAATATAAAAGTATTGGAGGGTAAATAATATGTTTGAGAATTAATTCCCAAATGCTGGAATGACAGTAAGAAAGTGAGATAAGGCTGTAATCCCAGCACTTTGGGAGGCCGAGGTGGGTGGATCACGAGGTCAGGAGGTCGAGACCATCCTGGATAACATGGTGAAACCCCATCTCTACTAAAAATACAAAAAATTAGCCGGGCGTGGTGGCTGGCGCCTGTAGTCCCAGCTACTTGGGAGGCTGAGGAAGGAGAACGGCGTGAACCCAGGAGGCGGAGCTTGCGGTGAGCCGAGATCGCCACTGCACTCCAGCCTCGGTGACAGAGTGAGATTCCATCTCAAAAAAAAACAAAAAAAAGAAAGTGAGATACGGAAGGGAAGGCAGCTGGAATTTTGTGTTCTCAGGCAAGTAACCACTGTGAGCAGTTAGAGTCAAGGGACAAAATAGCTGGAGCATTTATACACAAACAGCCAAGAGTCATTAGTTGAGGGCTTCTTGTCGGGTACACTAAATCTTCAACACTTGGCACTCGGGCAGAATAAGTTCCAGCAATCAGAGAAGACCCTCAAACTAAAATTAAAAAAATAGAATAAATAAAAATACATTTATAGTAACTTGAAGTCTTCTGGCATACATTAGACTAGCAAAATCCAAAGAAATATGGGTAGGACACCCATAGAATCTATTACACAAATGAATATACTAATCTTATGGTTATCATTAGACATCAGTTTAGCCAGATATTTATCTAAACATTTTTGCTGTTGCTGCTTGCTTTTCATCTTTCAGAATAATTGCTATTTAGAAATACCTTTAATAATTATCCAAAAGGAAACTTTTTAGAAGTTGTGAGAGTCATATTTATCATTGTACTAGGGTTCTTCTCAGTGCAAAGGAATATGTATTAAACATTATTCTCTGGAAGGTCCTACTCTATTAGATGAGACAAAAATGACTTTTGACAACAGACTGCACAAACAGGTTAGGGAAACATTTACTGAGTTCAGGATGAGTGATAATTGTGGCTTAAAACAGGGTAGCAGCAATGCAGTTGTTGAAATATTTGGGCTGGAATATTTTTAATACGGAAGTGGAAGGATACACTAACAAATTGGACAAAGACCATGAGCAAACAAGAGGAGTTCAGGAGGACAAGTTATTGGATCTGAATAACTGAAAAGATAGGATAATTATCTGAGATGGAGAGTAATATAAGCACATCACATTTGCAGGGGAAGACTGGGAGTTCACTTCTGAATACGTGTGAAGTTCCTATTAAATATCCAAGGTGAAATGTCAAATATTGAGATATATGTTTATTTCTGAATTTCAGAAGAGTAGCTTTGGATAGCAATCAATATATGAATGTGAAAGACAGAAGAATAGATGAGATCATTGAGAGTAAGTAGACTGAAAAACTAAAGATATCAAAGGAATAAACCAGAAGGCACTATAACATTAATGAAATGAGGTCAAAGAAATGAAAAAGAACTAGCAAGAGAACTGGTAAGGAGCAGCCAGTGAGGAAAAAGTAAAGATAGAAGTATGTAGAACCATGAAAGCAAAGACTTTATTTTATGGATGAAGAAAAGATAAATGTAGTCAAATGCTGCTAAAAGGTTAAATAAAATGTCAAATGAAATTTAATTGTGGAATTGGGCAAAGTATAGGTCATTGATAACTTTGACAAAAACTCTTTTTGAGGTGGAAAGGTGAGGATAAAGGCCTAATAGTATATTGAAGAGATGACAGGAAGAGGGAAATCAAAGACAATAAATCAAGATAGTTCTTCTTCTGTGAAAGAGAGAAGGAGAGAACAGAAGCAGGGACTACACAGGAAATTCGGGCAAACACACAGAGCTAATCATCAGCTGTTTGTTACGGGATGGGGACCGTGGTGTTCCAGGTTTATTTCTCAGAAGATAGCTGTGAACAAAATTTAAACAGAGCACAGACATACTATCTGCCTAGCTGATAAACCTACATCTTTTTATCAGCATCTTGTCCTAGACGGAAGTTTGTTTTCACCAACATAAATCTAAGGAATTGTTTTCTTAATCTTAAATAATTGCTCTGTGTCTATTAACTTTTTCTATCTTCCTAAGGATAGATCCCACCTCTTATCTTGCTCTTCTTAATTTAAGCACAACTTCTCTCTATTACTACCTCCCAAATCACAGAAATGAAGAATTATATCTGACACTTCAAAATATTTATTTTAAAGATTGCTTCCCTCTATTTGAAGTGGAGTTGCCGGCAACTTCTTTTTTAACAAACTATACTCCTGGTTTTCTGGGCCAGGTTGCAGGGCAGAAGACATGAAGTAGATGTGTCAAGTAAACTGAATAAGCCTCAAAAAAAAAAAAAAAAAAACCAAAAAACAGAAAGACAGCTGCTGAAGTTCATGAGCTTCCTCTAATCCAGATCCAGACGTTAGATCAACTTAGTGTGGAATTCACATGATCTCTCCTTACAAAACCGTGTTTAAAAGATTAAGCTAAGAAAACACACGGAAATAGTCCCTTTGAACTCGCCTAAACATTATTCCTTGAATCAAATTAACCACGTCTAACAACGCTATCGTATCTGACCTGTTTTCCTCTCCCCTTCATTTGTATGTGCACCTGTTGTAATATTGCTTCTACCACCTATCCTTGTGTTTCTGGAAAAAAATACTTATACTGTGGCTACATATCCTTTATTATCAATCATTAGTCAACCTATTATAGAATATAAATTGACACTTTTTTTTACTACCTATATTTCATAACCTACAAATGTCTACATTTGAAGAAAGCATAAAAGACACCAATTGCTGCAGGTTCAATTGAGCAAAAAAGAAAATGATGTATGGCATACCATGCTATTGCAGCCTGACCTGTGAACCCTAAATGTTCATTAGAATTCATCAGCACCAGACTATTTTCTCTTCTTTGCTTCTTCATTTTTTTTTTCTGATCTACTGGCTTTAGGCCAAGGAGAAATTTTTCTACAGAAAAGCTTATTTAATTAGCTCTCCACCCTCCTATAGATTCAGAATAATTGTTATAAAATGAAAACTTCAAATTACAGTTCATTTCATGAAAAAAAAATCATGGAGAACTGGAGATTTCCAACTGTGTTATTCTCCCAAAAGTTTTAATTCCACTACTTTTTTGCGGAGGCCATAGACAAAGATAATTGTATCTCATTTCTGAGACTTAAAGAAGCAACTTAGAAACTCTGTTTTCTCATGTAATAAAAATAATGGCCATGTTTGGGTTCTCACTATGTGCCAGGCATTAGGGTGATCCCATAAAATGGGTTATTTCATTTAATCCTCAGGATGATTACATTTGGTTCCTAACACCAATGGTCCCTAACTTATGATGATTGGTCTTAAGATTTTTTTTTCGTACTTTACCATGATGCAAATGCAATGCACATTCGGTAGAAGCTGTACTTCAAGTACTTATGCAACCATTCTGTTTTTCACTTTTAGTACATTTTTTTCTAAATTGTATGAGATATGTGATGCTTTATTATAAAGTAGGCATTTTGTTAGATTATTCTGCCAAGCTCTAGACTTAAATTAAGTGTTCTGAACATGTTTAACATGGGTTAGGTGATCTATGATGTTCCATTGATTAGGTGAATTATATGCTTTTGTCTTACAATATTTCCAACTTACAATGGATTTGTTGAGATGTAACCCTATCCTAAGTCAACAAGTGCCTGTACTTTTGTGCTGCTTTTATAGATATGAACACTTAAGGCTTTACAAGGCTAAGTGACTTATCCAAAGCCCTATAGCTAGTAAATGTAAGAATCTACATGTCAAAATAGTTGGTGTTATGCCAGAGCGGGAATCTTAAACACTGGTGATATTGTATAATATCTTGTTATGAATACATAGTTTATGTTTATTCATTTAAATTGTAGTCATAAATATAGTATTATACCTATTAATGTATAATTCATGAAAAGTAGTTTAATGTCAATGAAAACATGTTGATATTTTATAAGTGAGGAAAGAAATTTACTCACATATTTCATGAGCTTGTGTGTAGCAAGGTGTATAGACAAGGAATAAAGGGGTGTGGGTGTTAGTTCAAATACAAGAGGACTCTAGTTCTAATTTTCTTTATTTTCATTTTTGTCAGAATTGCATGCAAATGTATACCTGAAATTTCTAGAATAAGTCTTATCTCAATGTTTGCTTTTAGAACCACTGTATTCTTTTCCTACTACACTGACAAGATGGGCAAGGAGAAACAACCAGTTGACAAACTGGCTTACCAAGAAAATATAGTTTGTTTCTTGACTTCTTTCATTGGACATATGCGAGGACATCCTCTTTGCTACGATGCTGGTTCTGACTAGCCTGTCCGTTACATGAAGATCATCAATCAGCGAGCTCTTCATTATTTCATATCATCATCCTATTATGTTTTTGGCTTTTGTTGCCGTTGAGATTTTTTGTGACATTTTAAATGGTCACGACATTATTAAAGGATAACATTGTTGACTGCAAAGAAAGAGGACATTGAAGGGCTTGCTTTCATGAGTATCTTTGTGTGTGTGGTGGATTGCAGGAGGGCAGAGAGGTAACTTAAGATATTTTGTAAGCCAGCAGCTGGCTTGTGGAAGGTTGCAGCCCAAGGGTTGTTTCAAAGTCTTAGATACAGACTTGTTTTATTCCATGTTCTGTTTTTTTTTTTTTTGTCCTCTTAACCTTCATTGACAAATGTGCATGTGCAGTCTAATTTCTCTGCAATGTATGTTCTTCCCCTACTCCCAACTAAAAGGACACTCTGAGTAACAGACTCATCCCTTCAGAGTCACTAAGCAATGAGTAGGATGGTTATATTCCTGATTTGATCCATGCCACAAATGGAGTCTTTTCTCAAATAAATTAGGTTTATACTTTCATTGAGTTATAACTGACAATCAACCACATATATTTAAAGTATATAACTTGTTAGATTTTGACACCTGTGCATACCTACAAATGTTTCCTCTGACTCTTTCATGTCTATGTCCTCCCTTCTGCCCTTTACCCCCAGGCAACAACTAATCTACTTCTCATGACTGTATATTTTTATACTGGTAGATTTATGACATTGTCCATAATTTCACATACATGGAATTCTGTTTGTTATGCTCAGTATAATTATTTTGACTTTCATCTCTTTTTATTACTCCTCAGTGTTCTATTTTATGGGTATACAAAAATGACTACATTTATTTACCTATTCATGAACATTTGGGCTACTTCTAGTTTTTAGCTATTGCTAATAAGATTGCTTTATATATTTATGTCTAAATATCTTGCTTTTCAGTTGTATTAATAAATGACACATTAGTAATGTGTCATTTATTAATACATGTGTCATTTATTAATACATGTGTCATTTATTAATAAATAGTTTTCCAGGGTCATGAGTTTAGGGACAAAGTCTGTTTTCAGTCATTATTGTTAGTTGTTTTCTGAGTTCATCTCTATTAATACCTTGGAAAACACAGCCAATAACAATGAACATACAGTATTAATACTCTGTATTTCTACCTATAGCCTCAGGGTTTTAAGATTACTAGACATTATCTGAGTTTCAAATGGTCAAAAACAAGATTTGCCAGAAGTTTTACTATCATAAAGTGGGAATCACTATGATGGCCTGGGTTCAAGTTTTCACAGCAGAAACTTATGTAATTGTAAGTCCTCTTAAAAAAGACAACACTGGGCCGGGCGCGGTGGCTCACGCCTGTAATCCCAGCACTTTGGGAGGCCGAGGCGGGCGGATCACGAGGTCAGGAGATCGAGACCATCCCGGCTAAAACGGTGAAACCCCGTCTCTACTAAAAATACAAAAAATTAGCCGGGCGTAGTGGCGGGCGCCTGTAGTCCCAGCTACTTGGGAGGCTGAGGCAGGAGAATGGCGTGAACCCGGGAGGCGGAGCTTGCAGTGAGCCGAGATCCAGCCACTGCACTCCAGCCTGGGCGCCAGAGCGAGACTCCGTCTCAAAAAAAAAAAAAAAAAAAAAAAAAAAAAGACAACACTGCTGGGCGCGGTGGCTCACGCTTGTAATCTCAGCACTTTGGGAGGCCAAGGCGGACAGATCACGAGGTCAAGACATCAAGGGCCTCCTTGTCAACGTGGGGAAACTCCGTCTCTACTAAAAATACAAAAATTACCTGGGTGTGGCAGCATGCGCCTGTAGTTCCAGCTACTCGAGAGGCTGAGGCAGGGGAATCGCTTGAAGCCAGGAGGCTGAGGTTGCAGTGAGCCGAGATCACACCATTGCAATCCAGCCCGGCGACAGAGTGAGAATCGGTCTAAAAAAAAAAAAAAAAGACAATACTAAATTATAAATATAAAATTAGGTACAAAATCAAGTACTTGTTTATAATGAGAAAATAAATAAATTACAAAATAATTACAAACAAAAAACCAAATACCAGAAGCTTTATACATTAAAAAACATATATTTACCTGCTATGCCTATAAAATTATTTTTCTGTCTTTTTTGCTGCATTTTCTTTGATTACATTTAATCTTACATTAATTTTATAATATCATATCTCAGAGGGTAGAAAAGTAATTCTTTCCTTTCTTAGTATAGTGGAGCCTTACTTAAAAAAATTGTTGACAAGCTGGACACAAACTTATGATTTCATGCACAGAATTATTCACTGCTAGTAGTAATAGTGATAATGTCCATAAAAAAGACAAAAATATATTGTGTTTATATATACACCACATTATTTACTATATTACAGAAAGGAGAGAATTTCGGTGTTGACTAGGCTTCTATGAAGAAACAAATTCTCTGCTTGTACTTTTACATTTGATAATTGGAAAATGAAATCTCATATACTTATTTCTAACTTCGTGAAATACCAATTTTCTTATTTCTCCATAACCCATATTCTCTGAAGCCAGTTGCTACAGGCCACATTTCTATTGCATAACAGTGGGCTAATTGGCACAGAGGGCTGTAGAATATTCTGGGAAGCATTTCTGCACTGGCATGGCTAACAACAACTTAGCTATAAATTGTGAGTCACACTGTTATATTTCATTAAGCTTAAACTAAATGTGTCTCCAACTCAACTTTCCCTTAGCCAAATGCCAGAAATGGTGTGGCAATTCTAATTCCACTTAACATGAATATAAAATGTGATGAAGAGGAAGTTAGTGAAGACAGTGATTTTAATAAAGTGAGTATGCAATATCCTATGTTTGCATATGTTGTGTATCAGGGAACCTGCCCCAATAGTCATGTAGGTTCTTTTCTATTTTCCCTAAGCATCAGCCGGTTTGAGAAATAAAGGGACAGAGTACAAAAGAGAGAAATTTTAAAACTGGGCATCCGGGGGAGACATCACATGTCGGTAGGTTCCGTGATGCCCCACAAGCCACAAAACCAGCAAGTTTTTATTAGGGATTTTCAAAAGGGGAGGGAGTGTATGAATAGGGCGTGGGTCACAAAGATCAGGTACTTCACAAGGTAATAGAATATCACAAGGCAAATGGAGGCAGGGTGAGATCACAGGACCACAGGACCGGGGTGAAATTAAAATTGCTAATGAGGTTTCGGGCACCATTGTCATTGATAACATCTTATCAGGAGACGGGGTTTTGAGAGCAACCGGTCTGACCAAAATTTATTAGCTGGCAATTTCCACTTCCTAATAAGCCTGGAAGCACTATGGGAGACTGGGGTTTATTTCATCCCTACAGTTTCGACCATAGAAAACGGCCACACCCAAGGGGGCCAACTATAGACCCACCCTCAGGCACATATTCTCTTTCCCAGGGATGTTCCTTGATGAGAAAAAAAATTCAGTGATATTTCTCCCATTTGCTTTTGAAAGAAGAGAAATATGGCTCTGTTCCGCCCGGCTCACCGGCGGTCAGAGTTTAAGGTTATCTCTCTTGTTTCCTAAACATTGCTATTATCCTGTCCTTTTTTCAAGGTGCCCAGATTTCATATTGTTTAAACACACTTGCTCTACAATTTATGCAGTTAACGCAATTATCACAGGGTCCTGAGGCGACACACATCCTCCCCGGCTTACAAGATGACAGGATTAAGAGATTAAAGTAAAGACAGGCATAGGAAATCACAAGCTTATTGATTGGGGAAGTGATAAATGTCCATGAAATCTTCACAATTTATGTTTAGAGGCTGCAGTAAAGACAGGCATAAGAAATTATAAAAGTATTAATTTGGGGATCTAATAAAAGTCCATGAAATCTTCACAATCCATGTTCTTCTGCCATGGCTTCAGCCAGTCCTTCCGTTTGGGGTCCCTGACTTCCCGCAACAGTTGTGAATATATCTATTTGTAAAATCCATATGAACACATTACTAGGTTCCCTCCTAGGGGCTTTGAAATGGACTCCGTGAAAGTGGGGGAAAATGAAGCCTAAATTTGACTAACTTTGTATTAAACCTGCCCCAATCCCTGTCTTTCTAGCTATTGGTGGCATTTACCTAATTATGTGCCTCTGAACACTTAATCTATTGCTACTTATTTTAGCCTTTTATTTATGTCAAAATCTCACAAATACAAACCATATCCTCTACTAGTCCTGGTAAACTCAGTTATACTGTGGAATTAAACCCTCGCAAAACTTCAGTGGCTTAAGACAACAAAAGTTATTTTATGTTGGTTGACAGGATTGAGGAGGCGTTAGTTTATTTTCCCATCCTGTTTTGTAAGGGACCTAGCTGATAAAGGTCTATCTCAACAGGTGCTTCCACAATCACTGAATCACTGTAGCAGGGGAAAGAGCACCCTGGAGTTTATCACACTGGGAATTAATTGTTACATCTTGGAAATAACATGATATTTCCCCTCTTTTCTCTATAGCTAATGCTAGAAATGCCCATACTCAAGGGACTCAACAGGCTCAGTGTTCTATATGCCTAGAAAGAGTAGAAACTACTTATCAGTGAGCAGCATAACCTCCCCCGCCAAAATATAACAAGCATCTCAGATGTACCATGTCAACACCTGATCACCTGGGATACCCATAACAGTTATACCCCCTGCAATGCATGCGGTTGTTTCAACACATCTTATTGCCTACCATATTTTATTATGGAAAATAATCATAACGAAATTTTTTTATTTATTAGCTGCATTATTATGAAACATTATTTGTAACATCTCACTACTTATGATATAGTAAAAATTAATATGAATTTTAACTGAAATATGATATAAACTCAAATACTGCATAATGAAGAAAAACATGTAGAGAATTTTTTTTTCATAATGGTAGAGATGATACGTTGTCCCCCACATCAGAGAATCAGCTAATAGCAGATATGAAAAATTCCAGTATACTTACTCTAAATTAAGTTCTTTTTAAAAATTATGTACTTTTGTTCTAGTTTCTTCACGAAGAACTTGACCAAATAGCGATAAGTACTTCAACAAAAATTTCTTTTTTTAGTTTACAATGCATTATTTCTTAAATTGAACGAATCTTGTTTTATATCTTTTGGCATATTTTTCGTTTCTCTGTTACCTTGCATTTTTTCTCTTTCAATTATTTTAAAAGGATACTTGTATTTTTATTAGCTGATTTATTTAGACCTCCCAATATGACCTGTTTTGGAAATATAAAAAGGAATAAAGCATAACTTCTGCTGGCAAGAACATTACTATTAGAATTGAGACCAAAAAAATAACAGAGAATGGAAGCAGGGTATTTAAAAAAGAGAATATTAATATATAATAGCATGATTGTCTGAGAGTACATTATTGAAGGATCATTGCCAATATACTGAATTTTAATAAAATTGGAATTCAGAATATATATGCTTTGTCAGGGAGACTGGCCTCATAGCAGGATGAGAAGGCTGGTGATAGACAAAATAGAAAAAGTGTGCAGTGGCCAAACTATGAATAATTATTTTTACCACAAAGAAGTAATCAACTCTATCCTGCATATAGTGGGAACGGTTGAAAGAAATACCACTATTGAATTATCTCCTTCTTGTTGTATTATAATGCATTTATATTCTATGTTTTTGTTCATTTGTTCGTTTGGTTTTGAGATTGAGTCTCGCTCTGTCACCAGGCTGGAGTGTAGTGGTGCAATCTCGGCTCACTGCAACCTCCACCTCCTGGGTTTAAGCCATCATCCTGCCTCAGCCTCCTGAGTAGCTGGGACTACAGGTGCATGCCACCACACCCAGCTAATTTTTGTATTTTTTGTAGAGATGGGGTTTCACCATGTTGGGCAGGATGATCTTGATCTCTTGACCCCGTGAGCCTCCTGCCTCGGACTTCCAAAGTGCTGGGACTACAGGCGTGAACCACCTGCCTGCTATGTTCTATCTTTTAATATTCCATGAATGCCTAAGCCATTTTATGACTTTTATACAAATGCTATATTTTTATAATAGTCCTCTTATGTTTTTGCCTATTTAATACTATTTCTTTATTGAACTGTCTTCTATGGTGTGACATTTCTATAAATATTATTTTCCCTTCATGGTTATTTTACATTAACCTGCTTTTACTTTTACTTTTTACAATCAATAGTTCACAAAGCAATTATGTTACACTTTGTTTTAGATGAATTAATACAGTAGTAATTCAGTAACTACCATATTAATAATTTATATATATTATGTAAAAATAGAGCCTCTACAAAGAATTTAATACAGAAGGTAGTTCATAATTCTTAGAAGAGAAACATACAGTGCTGAACATATTAGCATTTACTACATTTAAATGGAGTGCCTACATTGTGTAACATAGCTAGCTAGGCACTACAATTCAGGAAAAAATATAAGTGAGACAGTCTATAATTTCCAGGAATATTCAGAAACATATCTTTAGTATGTCAAATTGATTAGATAATTTAAAATGCTATACTTTTATTTATAACAACTATTTTTATTTTTCACTCCAACCATTCTATTTTTATGCTTTATTTCCTTATTATAAAAACATGGAGCCTTATTCATAAAACCGATAAGAAACAGTTTTGCAGAGCCATGCAATTGATTCAGGCTCACTACATGTGCTATAATAACTGTGAATGTTTGCCAAGTAATAGCGGGTTCTGTTCAGGTTACCTATTTTCACTGAAAAAAAAAAAAAAAACAGCTTTAGTATGACAATGGCTTTAACAACAAGTACACAAATCAAATCCTTAATATAAATCTTTATCTTGGAGATTTTAAAAATTACACTGGAATAAAATAGGGGCTATTAATATCTAGTCCAGTTATATTTGTGTTTATTAAGGCTTTGCCAATGTAATAGCATAAAATTTGCGACCAGAAAAATCTGCCTGGTGGACAGGTTCTGCCTGTTAAAAATGAAGATAGGTAGAGTAAGCTATTCATTTTCTTTAGCCTTATTTTTATCATACACTGATATAGTTTGAATATTCATCTCTACCAAAATCTCACTTTGAATTGTAATTTCCCATACTGGAGGTGGGTCCTGGTGGGAGGCATTTGGAAAATGGGGGCAGATCCTTATGTCTTGATGCTTTTTGTGATAGTGAGTTTTAGTGAAATCTGGTCATTTAAAAGTGTGTAGCAACCCCCCACCCCCAACTATTCCTCTCTTCCTTGCTCCTGCTTTCACCATGTGACCTATCTACTTCCCCTTCGCCTTCTGCCATAAGTGAAAGCTTTCTGAGGCCTTGCTAGAAGCCAAGCATATGCCAGCATCGTGCTTCCTGTAAAGCCTGCATAATCATAAGCCAACTTAATCTCTTTTCTTTGTAAATTACCAAGTCTCAGGTATTTATTTATAGCAATACAAGAATAGCCTAATACATACAGAAAATGAATTTTAATATTAGAACTTATGGAATCACTGTGAGAATTAAATGAGATAATACATATATAGAATAATGCCTGGCATGAAGTTATATAGTCAATAAATGTGAGTTATTATTATTATTATTGCTGTTGTTATTATCACTATTATACTAGAAAATAGAAAATTAAAATAGTAAAAAAATTCAAATCAATTCAATACCCATTGTAAACATTGTTGATAATATTATATTAGTTTAAATTACAGGCTGTTTGAACACATAAACAATTTAATATAGTGGAAAATAATCATATTGAAACTGAAAACTCACTAGGCTTATTAAATGGTTCACTTGAAAAATTCAACCAAAAGTCTACATGCAAAGTTAAGACTGAAACCTATTTAGAATTAATTTAATGTAAGCTTTATATTTTTGGTTCTAACTATGGAAACTATATTTAAATGTGAATTTATTGAAAGAATAGAAAATTATAGTCGTGGAACAAAAAAGGTCCCTATATAACTGAACTAAGGAAGAAGAGTTCTGGGGATATCTGAAGGTGAAACTAATGAACACTCTATGTCTGGAATAATCAGCTACAACACTTTGTTGTGTTTTTTGGAACTTGTCAAGATTTAAATTCTAGACAGAGAGTAACTGATTCTTCTAATTTCTCCCACTATAAGATACAATGACTGAATATCTTTCCAAGATCAAACTGGAATGCTATTACCAGAAACAGAGGAAATGGCACATACCACAGATTGTCAGATCTATCCCCTACCTCCACTGAGACCTTAATCCAGAGCTGGTATAATATAGCTTTTTTCCCCAAGCTTCTGTTCCCATTTCTCTTCAGCATGTTGACCCTTCTTATGCCATATTACTTGAGCAGATATTCTCATGTTTAAACTATAGACTGGTATCTGACATGAAGTGAATCAAGGGCATTTACTGAGCTGGAAACAACTGTAAACATATATCTACTCAATAACTACAATGTATACATAACTGGTATTCACAATTCTAAACATACCTTATAACACAATGTGCTCAATTATTTGGTTACTGAATGAGAATAAGCAGATTGATTTTCTGGTCATTATTTTTATTTCTTCCTAAATATTTGAATGTGATTCTTTTAAATCTCACAAAACAAATAACAAAGAGTTTAGTGCATAGAAATATGGGAGGATTTTACAGGATTCACAATCTTTTGGACCTAACCAGCTTATGGAAACTTGTGTATGATAGAATCGGTAATCTTTGATTTAAACACAACAATTATATTCTTTCTCAATGCAGATAATTCTCAGGATTTGGCATTTATGGATGGTACCAAATTTGTGATGGAGCAGCCGCCATACATACCAGCAAGGATATTCTTATGAAAGAAAGAACTCATGAAAATGTACCCTTGAGAGATGCATGATTCCCTCTTGAACAGTGCTTTTCCTCTGTGTGGTGATTTCTCCACAGTGTTCAGATTCTTTTTCAGGTATACACGTTTCATACTATATATGTGATTCACAACTGATCATTGCCACTTTCATGTTACTCTGTGAACTGAACATCCTATTATATTTGAAAACTTTGATATAAGATTATTACCAGACCAAGCACAATTTTAGACTATATAGATGTCATAAAGCAGTGGTGCCCAACATTTTTGGCACCAGGGATCAGTGTCAACGAAGACAGTTTTTCCACAGACAGCAAAGGGGTGGATGGTTTCAGGATGATTCACCCACATTACATTTATTGTGCACTTCATTGCCGGGTCTGTCCGCAGACCCTGGCCAAGTGACAGAAGAAAGGAGTATTAGACACAGGTATGCAGTGTAAGAGCAGTTAGGGGACCGCCCAGCACTAGTGGCCAGAGAGGCAGCCTCAAGGAGCTGGCGCTGCTTGCTTTTATTCAGTACAGGCATACTGCCAGAAGCCTGGAACAAACACAGTCTGCAGGTAATTAACATTTATTGTTCCCCTTTGAGAGAACGGGTCACGTGCGCAGATGATCAAAGATCAGCTCCTGGTCAACATAAGTAAACAAGCCTGTTAAAGATAAATGCTCAAATACTTTCTCGTACCTACTCCTTGCCCTCTGCCTCTGTCTTCAGGTTGAAATGAAGGAAAAAATGTTAAGGGTAGCCAGAGAGAAAGATTGGGTTGCCCACAAAGGGAAGCCCATCAGACTAACAGCGGATCTCTCTGCAGAAACCCTACAAGCCAGAAGAGAGTGTGTAGGGCGGGGGGAATATTCAACATTCTTAAGTAAGTAAGTATGTATGTATGTATGTATGTATGTATGTATGTATGTATGCATGTATTTTTTGAGATGGCGTCTCACTCTGTCGCAGGCTGGAGTGCAGTGGCGCAACCTCGGCTCACTGCAATTTCTGCCTCCCAGGTTCAAGCAATTCTCATGTCCCAACCTCCCAAGTAGCTGGGATTATAGGCACCCACCGCCACACCAGTCTAATTTTTGTATTTTTAATAGAGACAGGGTTTCACACAGACTGGCAAATTGGATAAAGACTCAAGCCCCATTGGTGTGCTGTATTCAGGAGACCCATCCTCCTTGCAAAGACACACATAGGCTCAAAATAAAGGGATTCAGGAATATTCACCAAGCAAATGGAAAGAAAAAAAAAACAGGGGTTGCAATCCTAGTCTCTGATAAAACAGACTTTAAACCAACACAGATCAAAATAGGCAAAGAAGGGCATTACATAATGGTAAGGGGATCAGTGCAACATGAAAAGCTAACTATCCTAAATATGATTATTCCAAGGTGTATTGCTGATACTGAGATGAAGTAGTCTATCTTAAATTGTTTTATAAACTATAAAGTATAAAACTATAAATGTGGCCAGGCGTGGTGGCTAATGCTTATAGCCCCAGTGCTTTGGGAGGCCAAGGTGGGAGGATCATGTGAGCCCAGGAGTTCAATACCAGCCTGGGCAACACATTGAGACCCAATCTCTACAAAAAAATTAAAAATTAGCTGATGATGTGCTACATGTCTGTGGTACCAACTACCAAAGAGGCTGAGGTTAGAGGATCACTGGAGCCCAGGAGTTTGAGGCTGCAGAGAGCCATGATCGCGCCACTGCCCTCTAGCCTGGGTGATAGAGTGAGACCCTGTTACAAAAAAATAAAGCAAAACAACAAAAGCTATGAATGCTCATTTATTTATTTCAAAATTATTTATTAGAGTTATATGTAATGTAATGTGAAATTAAAAATATATTCTGAGAAGCCAACGTGACATGTGTGAGTGTCATCAAATCTCGGCTATGCTGAACTTCTTGCTTCAATTGTTTATACTTCTGAAATTTTTAATTTGACTTCAGGTAACATTACAGTTTATCCATTTTTAAGAATTACCTGGCAAATGTGTAAACTACTGTGTTAGGATTAATAGAAATATGATGACCGAAGAAAATGTGGAGAAAGTTGAGGCTATCTAAAATGACTATCCTCTGAGACTACTTCTGGCTGAGTTTCCACTCCTCAAGAGCATGAAGTTTTGGAGAAAGAGCGTGTCAACACATGTATCATTTTCTGGATTTAGCCAAATGTCTAATGTAAGTTTACTCATTGAGGGTCTTTGGAAGTTTTTCTATTTTTCTAAACTGTTTTTTAAAAACTGCATATGGCAGAGTCATATGCAGGATATGAGCTGTCTTTCTTTTGAACTATTATTACATTACTCTACCATAGCACTTTCCTCAGTGTATCCTAATGGTTTGCTTACTATCTTGTCACTCTCATTAGACAGAGAGTTGCTAGGAAAACATCATTTTTCCATCCAGCCTGCAGCGCAGGGCTTGTTAATACCTTCTGTATTCTTCAAATTAAATTGAATAACACTTTGTATCTTGCTGGTCACAACTTACAGACATTCTGTACCATAATATGTATTTGTTTTTTTTCTACTAGCATATTATAAATTACTTGAAATATGGAGCTATAACTTTATTCTCTTATTGTCATGGTGTAATAAAGTAAAATATTTGGGGAGGTGAGTGCTGGATGGTGCTAGAGACATTTTTTTTTTTTCTGTTTCTGCATAATACCATTGCAACATTCTTAGCTTTCTTTTTTTTTTTTTTTTTTTTGCCACTTAATCCTCTTTCTTTATAAATTACCCAGTCTCTGGTATTTCTTTTTTTTTTTGAATTTTTTTTTAATTTAATTTTATTATTATTATACTTTAAGTTTTAGGGTACATGTGCACAATGTGCAGGTTAGTTACATATGTATACATGTGCCATGCTGCACCCACTAACTCGTCATTTAGCATTAGTAACATTCTTAGTTTTCTTATCACTGGGAACTTGATGACCCAGATCTGACAACTACTTGGATTTCTAACCAAGTGAAAGAAAAGGAGAAATTAATGAAAGAAGAAAGGAATAAGTGGGCTAAACGAGATGCATAGAAATAGATTAGGATACGTCTATGTCTGTTGGGTAATAGGGCAAGGAAACATTTGTTTTGGCCAAAGTTTCAAATAATTAGTTAATGAGAAAGAAGCCATAGATAGCAATCTCCAAAATACCAAACTGAATAGATACAATGAAGAATATAACAAGCCACAGAAATCCACCTGTCAATGTGAACAAGAATGTCTCAGGTGGACACATAAACTTATTGAATTATAGAGGCATAGATGGCATGTCATTAGTTGTATTATGAAAAAAGATCATAGTTTGTATTTTTTTAATCTTGACATAAATTTCATATTTTATAGATAACAGTTATTATTATTTTGAAATATATAAATAACTGATTACATGTTCTACTGATGATTCTACAATATTTGGGAGCATCAGTTTTGGGTTTTATACATGTTTTGTAAATTTTGAGTAGAGTGCTCTTTACTCACATACTCAATTCAATATTCAAAAGGGGGGCTCTAAATTTGTTTCTGTATTTATATAATTATTTCTGAAGGATTTAATGATATATATTTTTTCCTCTTTTCAGTAAGATTTTAAACTAGTCACCTTTACGTCACCAGATGTAATCGGGAGAAGGATAGGTATCTGTCTCAGAAAAAATCAGACATTAATTCTTAAATTAGGTATCTAGGTTCTAGGGCTATTCTGTATATGGCATAATAGTGACTGGGATGTGAACTCTCTCTCTGGAAGGATTAAAGTCAGGATTAAGGTAAGGATTAAGGTTTTAACCCCTGTCTCATCTTCAAGATAAAGCAAGTAGCCTTAAGTGTTTCTGGGGTTTCTCCTAGCACAAAAATTTATAAATCTATGGTGAAAATGGGGAGAGAGTAGTGTCTTCAAACAAGAGCTAAATGTATTGATGATTAAGAACTATCATGGCTGAGTACAGTGGCTCAAGCTTGTAATCCTGACATTTTGGGATGACAGGACAGGAGGATTGCTTGGTCCCAGGAGTTTGAGACAGGCCTGGACAACATTGTGATACCCCATCTCTCATTTTTTTTTTTTTTTTTTTTTTTTTTTAGTTAGGCCTGATGCACTCCGGTAGTCCCAGCTACTCTGGAGGCTGGGGCAAGAGGATTACTTGAACCCAGGAAGTCAGCGCCGCAGTGAGCTATGATGGCACCACACTGCACTCCAGCCTGGGTCTTGAGTGACAGTATTAGAGTGTGTTAAAAAAAAAAAGAATCAGGATTTAAGGGCTCCCTAATCATACATTTGGACAGAGTGTAAAGGGCATCTATGCATCTGCTTTCTATTTCCTTTTGCTATCGGGACTACTATTATTTTACATGTATTGATTTACTTGGACATTTTTATTGGGTATCATTCTTAAACTCGAATTAACAATGATCACTTTCTGTTTTCATTTTTTACTCCTTGTGTTACTTAAAAATTGTCCTTTTTTATTAATATCTGAATCTGAACATACCATTTGATACTGAATATGAATTGCATTGTTTGTAAGTATAACTAGAAACATGCTCCTTCTCATAGTTTTTGTTGTGATTGTCTCAATAAATTTTGTATGTTAATGTGCTTTGCAAACCATAAGAAACTATGTATTACTTGTATTATTATCTCGGAATTTAGAGGCAGCAGTTTTTCATGTTGCATGTTCATTTCTTTCCACATGGCAAATTCAGGATTTGGGACTAGGCTGGCTGCCCTCCAGGACATCATTAGTAGTGACCTTGTCATTTAATGTTAACCATGTACCTCATTCGTACATGGTTGAAAATGGCTGAAAGCCAGTGCAAGTGAAGCATTGAAAACCAGGTGAGATAGGCAGGTGCAGTCCCCATTTCCCATGTCTGTCAAAATAATGCTCAGATCTTCAGCTTACCAGATCTGTTTCATTATTTTTGTACAGAACTGAAAGTATCTTCCCAATTCTTTCTTTCTCAGATATTGTCTGGCCCAGAGAAACCAATTTCTAAAAATGTTAGATATGCAGCATTTCAAGGATCAACTAATCTTTACATGATTAGTGAATTCTGCTTCAATAACATAAATCTAGTTTTTTACTACATGAAGAAAAAAATGTAAAGAATGAAGAAATAAAATGTGTACCAATGATTTAATTCTTATTTAATAAACAGTTACCAAACTGGTGCTTTCAGGATTGCGATCTAAGTTTTAATGGATCAAATTTCTTTCCAATTCTTGTTTCATTTTATTCATATGCTTTAGTTACAGAGATAGTGTTGTTTTTTCTCATGTGCTTGGACATATTTCCATTTACTTTTGTACTTAACACTGTCAAAATGTAAATGTTTTTAGTGTATCTCATTTGACATCATATTTAAAAGGTAAATGCTACATCAAAAATGATATAATTTTTATTTATTCCTGTAGTTATTATTAAAGCCAGACTAAATGGGAATAACATTTTTTTAGTCAAGCACTGTATGTCAATAAAACAAATCATTCTCAGATCCTTAGAAAACACATAGTTCTGGAAGACTTTATGAAAAATACAAGGAACTCCTGCCTTTATAACAAGTTAGTTTAAAATACTAATCAGTAGAAAACCTTAAGTTTATAGCAAGTTTTTTAAATACCTGGGAAAGAGAGAAAATCTCTTTGAGAGACGGCAGCTGAATTCCCATTTCAATTGTACTTAACTGACAAGTTGTGTAAATTAAAGTACAAAAGAGTTATCTCTAGAGATTGCCACATTTCTTAACATACTTTAAAATTGATATCTCATAAATAGTTTCTGCATAACTTCCTTGAAGAACATGCATTAAAGCACCAATATAATATATGAATGTAAAAAAAGTCTTGCATTAAATGAAGCGGTTGCAAAAAAAATCAAACATTTGGAGAAAGTTGTTCTAGGAAAAAAATGAAGAGATAGTAACAATTAATATTTGTTCTTTTCAGATAGTGCTTTCAATTATTCTAGTTAAGGAGAAATATGTTAAGCAAGTAAACAAATGTATTTCATAAAAAACAATTGTTGGGTTGGGTACCAACTGATCTCTCATGTAAATGTTTTCCTACATGCATAATTTTTGGTTTTGTTTTGTTTTTGTAAATCTAAAAACTCTAGCATATCTATATATAGCACATATATAGCATATGTAGCATATATATAGCATATATATAGCATATATAGAGCATATATATAGCGTATATATATAGCATATATATAGCATATATACAGCATGTATAGCATATATACAGCATATATAGCATATATACAGCATATATATAGCATATATACAGCATATATATATAGCATATATATATGTGCTAGGACAAAAATATCATCTATATATCTGCTATTAATTGATAATAATAATATTATATATATTACATATATATAGGCATACGCATGCAAATGCATGTTCATGTGTGAGTTCATGCATGTGTGTGTCTGTTCAAAGGAAAGACAAATTTACTCTATGAAACTTGCATGGAATGATGGTCTCCACCAACTTAGAATTCTTACAGTCTGAAGTTTGACAGCTGTTGGAACTGATCCTAGATTCAGGTATTAAACAAGTTTTGTTAAATTGACTAAAATTAATTTTACAAAATGAATTTGCATTTAGTTGAGCTTGTATTCTTCAGTTGGCCACCAACACCATCACACCTTGCTATGTTACATATTTTCCCTATATATTAAAACTAACTGTCAATTCCCTGGAGGCATTTGATTTATGTCTTCTGTTTCTGATTTATGCTTCTAGAAGAACAGCAGGAGATTATCTTCTAAAAATTAGCAGAAAAATTATATTGTCAGTAATAAAATAAAATATTCCAGATTCTGCTTTGGATAGCTAAAAGTCTTCTAAAAATTATGAGTGGAGAATTCAGAGCTAAATAATGACTTATTACAATCGTATAATACCTGCCTTGTGCCTGCAATGCATACCAATAATAAATCACATTTTGTGGTAAAATTACTGTCAAAACTTCATAGAATAATGGTCATTATGTCAAAAAAATAGACTAAGCAATAAATTTCTACACAATTGTGATAATACTTAATCAGGTGAAAATACACATACATATATGTATTTATACATATACACATAAATGTATATATACCCATATATATATGCACAAACACACACAAAAGCTGGTTAAGTCATATAAACATGAGAATAAAAAAATACAGAGAAAATATAGAAACAAACATAGAAATATGTAAAAGACATCAACAGTCAATTTATAAAAATGCAAAATGATGAATAAACAAATATATTTTATTATTACTAATAAATAATAAATTTCAGAAGCTAGACTTATTTTGGCTAATAAGATTAGCAATATTTAAAATGTATTTTTAGAAAATACAGATGACAGTGTCACTTTGTAGACAATTTTTGTATAATAACAGGGATATATACTAGCACAATTTTTTGATGACAACTTTGTGACAGGCCTGCAAATGTGATATATGGATGTCTTTAGACCCAGAATTTTACTTCTGAGAATGTGACTTAAGGAAAAAATTAGGTAAATGTACAAAGATGGATTGCAAGGATGTTCATCATGATGTTGGACAAATAGCCCCATGTTGTCTTTTGAAAAGGAGTAAATTATGTCAAATTACATAGTGAAATATTAAAAGAATATTGAAATAATGATACCCAGTCAGTCCTATAACACACATTTATAACATTTACTAAATCATAGGTATATTCTAAGAACTGGTGTTTTTCTGGTTGGAAGAAAAGTATTAAAGTAGCTGACCTAATTTTCTCTCCTGATTACTGGAGCAAAGCCCCAGAAGAAAGTCAGTGGCCCAGTCTAATCTTGTAAATATGTTGATAAGCAGACTCCCTAATAAATAGACTAAAAAGATTTGCTATGAAAAGGAAACTTACATGGAATTATTTTAGCAGGTTATCCCCAGGTAAGATAGCTCGTGATAAACAAACCAAGAACCTCTAAATGTATCAAGCATAGGTTCCTGGAAAATGTCAGTTTAGCTACACAAACAATGCTTTGGTGTATAACTTGATGTTCTAAACGGAATGGTTCCTGTAAGAGGTAACCCACGAACTTCACTTAGAGAACTGATTTATTACTCTGAGTCTGAGAAAGTGTTTATCACGTGAAAATTAAGGACCCAGGAAGCCACCATCAAAGTCCCACATCTTCTTTTCATTTGCTCATGACAGTAAATTTTTTCTGCCATTGATGCAACGTGTTATATTTGATTTATTTAAATCTGATTTTGAAATATGTTCCTTTGTGTTAGGTCAATGGTGAACGAAACAAGTTTTATAAATGAAAGTGTGTTTCTCTTTCAGTGAAAGAGATAGAAAAATTCGTAGACAAATTAAGAAATAATACAACTTCAAACAAACACTTTTAAGTGCTAATAAAATTAAAAGAGAGCAGTATAGTAGAAGATAACAATGTGAAATAGAGGACTACTTCAGCGAGTTTGGTCAGGAAAGGCTTCTGAGAGGAGTTGACATTTGCGTAGGGATCTGAATATTAAGAAAGAGGTCATAGAGAAAGCATGATAAAGAGCCTTGTGAAAATTTTGAGACAGATTTTAAACAGGAGGAAAAGCAAACTCTGAGATCTGTTCCAGTGGTGTCTAATCGTTTGGTTTAAAATATCCTTTACCCTACAAATTACTGACGACCTCAAAGAACTTTTGATTTGGGGGCTATTTTTACATGTTGAGCATCCCTAATCAGAAAATCCAAAATCTGAAATGTGCCAAAATTCCAAACGTTTCCAGTATGAACATGATGTCACAAACAGGAAATTCCACGCTTGACCTCATAGGATGGGTTGCAAAATGCAGTAAAAACTTTGTTTCCTGTGCAAAAGTATTTAAAATATGATATAAAATTACCTTTAGGCTCTGTGTATAAGGTGTATACGAAACATAAATTTAGTACTTAGACTTGGGTCTCATCCCAAAATTACCTGATTATGTATATGAAAATATTTTAATATAAAAATTCAAAACACTTCTGATTCCAAGCATGTTGGATAAGGGATAATGAATCTGTATTAATATTTGCCATATTAGAAATTAAAATGGATAATTTAAAAATATAGTAGTTTAACAATGCATTTAAATACAACAATAAACCCCTTACATGTTTACATAAATGACATTTTAATTTAATGATGACATTATCCAAGACAATAATAACAACAAAAGGATGGAGAAGAATGCTCTTGTGGTTTATTGGTACAATATACTTTAACAATAGATGTCTTAGTTCTTATATTTGCTTCTGCCTTCAATCTGTTTGGTATCATAGTTTATGTAGACTCTGGAAAATGCCACTTTATATTTGTGAAAGAATGTCACTACCAAGCATATAAAGTCCTATTATTATTATAAAAAAATAAGTTGACTTTGTGGACCCCTTGAACATGTCTTGGTGACCTCCAGGGTTTGGCAGACCATAATTTAAAATCAGCAATGCTGAAAATTAGCTTAATTTATTTAAGGAATGGACACAAGATGATTTAGCAACATGATTTAGGTAACATGAGAGAGTGAGAGGTGAGGTATAAGAGCACATGAGGTCGGAGATGTAAGTAGGAGCAGATCATTTATAACCATGTAGATAATGATAAGGAATTCAGATTTTTGTTTCAAATGAAAGCTGTTGGGTGATTTTGAGAAGAGAAGTGATATAATTTGATTCATACCTACGAAGTCAACTATGATTTGTTTTGGGAGAATTTAGGCTGGAGGAGGGTAAAGATTAGAAAAGGGATATTAGCTAAGAGACTTCTCAATTGTAGGCAAAAGGTGATCATTGCTAAAGAAAACAGGTAACTAACACTTGTTAGTCTGGTCACACTGACATTTCATGAAAGCAGCATGACATTCTTGCGGGGGACATGTCTCTTCTGCTTAAATTGTATTTATCCGGGTGATGATGCCAGTCATAGCAGGGCTGTGAAGTTGCCGAGTATGGTAACCTTTTCATGCATTGAGTCCAGTAAGAAATGGATATATGCAGAGGACATCCCAGAGAAGACTTGGACAAAAAGTCCTGGAAAGCAGTCACTCACCAAATTGCAGTTATGCAGTCACAAACCGAATTGCAGTTATCCTAAGAAACAGCTGTCCATGCTGATTTTCTAGGGATTTGATGGAATTAATAAATTATTCTTTACATTCACATCACCCAGATGAGTGGTTATCATATTCAGACAGAAGAATTTTGATTAATACATGTTTACAATAAGAATACAATCCAATAAGAAATAATACGATCATTTATTTTTGTTAATATGAAAAGAGGTACACAATATTATGTCAAGTTAATCTGGATAGAGGGTTGAATATATTATGATTTGGGGTTTATTATTTAAAAAATAAAACACACTAAGTCTTTCAGCATTTTCACAATGATATCAATAGGGTGGGTCAATTACAAATAAAAAATAATTAAAGAAAGTGGTTACCTTCACATGGTAAGATTACATTTGTTTTTTTTTTTTCTTATAATTTTCTGGAATTTTACAACAAATAATAAACTAATTATTTTATAATAAAAACTGTAAAACATTTGAAACATTTCTTATATTAATTATAACATATTTTGGTCTTAAAATTTAAAAAATACAATAACATATCTTTTTGCACTAAAGTTCAGGTTTTATACATTCATAAAACCTAATTTAAAAGAAATGTCCAAGCAAACTTTCCCATTTTTAGAAACAGCATATTTTTTTTTTTTTTTTTTTTTTTGAGATAGAGTCTCACTCTTGTTGCACATGCTGGAGTGCAATGTTGTGATCTTGGCTCACCGCAACCTCTGCCTCCCGGGTTCAAGCGATTCTCCTGCCTCAGCCTCCTGAGTAGCTGGGATTACAGGCATGCACCAACATGCCTGGCTAATTTTGTATTTTTAGTAGAGATGGGGTTTCTCCATGTTGGTCAGGCTGGACTTGAACTCCCAACCTCAGGTGATCCGCCCACCTCGTCCTCTCAAAGTGCTGGGATTACAGGTGTGAGCCACCGCGCCCAGCCCGATATATCTTTTCACAAGACAAACATCATCTGTGAAGAAAAAATATAAAATAAATATATTTTTACAGTCTTTTTTTATTTAAAAATTATCTACAAATAGTTTAAATTTATTTAGCAACCATAATAAAAATGTATTAAGTACTTTTTTGAAATATGAATCCCTAATCTATGAAGTACTATGCTAAAAAGCTAAAAAACTCACATTAAATTATGAATAAACTGAAATATACTTGATTATTTATAATGATGGGATTCACAATCAGCACACAGTTCAGTAAACTTTTTGAGTCATTGTGCACACATTCTAATCTGAGCTGGGTGTGTTAATGGTTTCAGCCACATTATGAATGCTCCATTACAGAATATAACAAAGACTTGACTACAGATAAGTAAGCTTTATTGAACAGAAATGACTTGTCACATATAGTGTCCTCGAAGTTCTATTATATGTATAACTTCTTGTGTTCACAATGTTTCTGAACATTTTCATTTAGGTCTAAACCAAGTGAAACATATACTTTTCCACTTTATGGTCACAATATTACATTTTATTCAAATACTTGTAATTTCTACTCAAGTTGTATTTGGAAATGTACATTTTAACTTTAATAAGATGCACTACTGACAATGTGATATGTCATATAACCAAAAGCCAATTAACTCTTAGATATCTATCATTGTGTTTCATGATATAGTTAGCATTACATATCTGGCAAATTTCCAAATACAAGAGACCCTGTTACATATATTCCAAACGTAGAGACACATTTTCTGAATTTTTCTAAGACAAATTAAAAACCTGCAAATGAAAATACATCATTCACAAGCTCTCAGTAGAAATCCAGTAGGTGGAGATGTGTCAGTTTCTTGTCTGTAGTCACCAATTTGAATAATTTGTCTTGCTTAGCTGTTTTTCAATGGGCATATGCATTTTGGTTGTATTTTCCAATCAGAGAATACCACCTGGCTTTGAATCTAGACTTTCTAGCTGTGACTCATATCTCACTGTGACCATTGTGATTTTATTTAACTTTGGTAAAGAAATATTTCATCCTGAAGAAATCTAGGTGTTTTAACAAAGAACCATCTGTCAAAGCACACTGCCAGAAGCCTGTTAAATATTCTCTACTGTATTTGGATTTCAAGCTTCTTTTTAAAGAAACAATGCTGCATTATGTAGTAAAGTTTGTTTTCAAATAATATTTCGTTTTGATTTAGCAATTTTAAAATTGTTTGATTTAGCAATTTTTCCTATGCAAATTTGTATAATCCACCAAAACTGTAAAGCATAATAACCAACGCATTTTAATTATGTCTTCCTCATCAATATAAAGGCTCCAGAGAGAAGGCAGAGAGACATATAATGGCAAACATCTTATATGTTAGGTTCTATTGAGGAATTATTTATGCATTGTCAAAATAGTATCAACAAGAAAAGTCGACTAGTGGGATTATTATAATACATGCCTGCTCATTGACCCAGTAAATCCACCTCTAAAACCTGGTTGTATTTTCTACTGATAGCAACAGGAGGCAGCCAAATGCCTAGGAAGATAGGAGCAGGTCCCCAGTGAAACCCCACCTCCAAGCTGAAGACAGTTTGAAGCCCAAAAGCCAAGCTACCAGTTAAAAACTCAGATCAATTGAGAACTTGTCTTCCTTTTTGGCGTGCTTTCTTCTGATTGATTCCCACCCCCTTTCCTAATTGGTTTTCTACATGGTTATCCCCACCTTTGAGTGGTGTCTTCTCTTTAACATTTTTTGCATAACCACAAACCAACCACCATGCACTCCCTATTGTGAGCCATTAAAAGCCCCAGGCTCAGCCATATTGGTAGGGACTTTCCTGCTTTTGGGTAGGAGAACCATCCCCTGCATCCCCTGTTTGCTGACAGCTTTCCTTTTGCTTAATAAATTATACTCCACTCACTCTCCAGTGTCCACATGCCTAATTCTTCCTGGTTGTGAGACGAGAACTCAGACCTAGCTGAGCTAAGGAGCAGAAAAAATCCTGCATCATTACCACAATATGCCTTACAACATTGTATGTGGTAAAACTGTTGATATAACACAATTTCATTTCAGTTAAAAGTGATATATAAAACCCAACTGTATATACATATATATATACACATATGCGTATATATAAAATATATATATACACATATGCGCATATACAAAATATATATACGCATATGCGCATATATAAAATATATATACGCATATGCGCATATATAAAATATATATATGCATATGTATATATATAAAATATATATATGCATATATAAAATACATATATAAAATATATACATATGTATATATATAAAATATATACATATGTATATATATAATATATATACATATGTGTATATATATAAAATATATACATATGTATATATATAATATATATACATATGTGTATATATATAAAATATATACATATGTATATATAATATATATACATATGTGTATATATTTAAAATATATACATATGTATATATAAAATATATATACATATGTGTATATATATAAAATACATATGTGTATATATATATAAAATATATATACACATATGTGTATATATAAAATATATATATACATATGTGTATATATAAAATATATATACACATATGTGTATATATATAAAATACATACACATATGTGTATATATATAAAATACATACACATATGTGTATATATATAAAATACATACACATATGTGTATATATATAAAATACATACACATATGTGTATATATATAAAATATATACACATATGTGTATATATATAAAATATATACACATATGTGTATATATATAAAATATATACACATATGTGTATATATATAAAATATATATACATATATAAAAGGTTGTACATACATAAAATAAAATGAAGCCTAAAAGTGTAAAGCACTATACTATCCAGTTATCAATACTGTGTGCATAGATAATACAGTCGAGTGAGACGAACATTAATTTGAACATTAATTCAAATAACCACCCATCTACCGTAATTATACACTATATAAAATGTTTACTGAGGGGAGGTACAATTTGCTATACATATAAAAGTAAGTTGTAAATTAATATATAAAGCATTGTTGTAATTAAATATTTCTTGCTTATAAGTGATAATTATCAATATGTATATAAAAATCTAAAGTAATAATTATTTGGGGAGGAGGTATGGAAATGTGGTTAGTTTTAAATGACTAAAACTATTTTCACATTTTCAGTATAATCCAATTGTGGGAAAATATTAAATTACATTTGTACAAATGAATTGGTAAATCTTTTGAAAATGCTTAACATTTTAACATGTGGCGGGGTGCAGTGGCTCACGCCTCTAATCCCAGCACTTTGGGAGGCTGAGGATGGTGGATCACAAGGTAAGGAGTTCGAGACCACCCTGGCCAATATGGTGAAACCCCACCTCTACTAAAAATATAAAAAAATTAGCCAGGCATGGTGGCACACGCCTGTAATCCCAGCTACTCAGGAGGCTGAGGCAGAAGAATTGCTTGAACCCGGCTGGTGGGGGTTGCAGTCAGCCGAGATTATGACACTGTACCCCAGCCTGGGCGACAGAGTGAAACTCCGTCTCAAAAAATAATAATAATTATTATTATTTAAAGATCAGTATTTGTAATCTCATTGCTTTCCTTATTTTTAAAGGAATTATCTGCAAATTCAATAACACAAGCAAAAACTTTTTTCGTTGATTTGTAGCTACACTGGCTCAGTGGAAATTATACTGATTTACTTGTTTTTCTCAACATGATAAACTTCGGTGAATAAAGAATGCAGGGGAGTCAGTGACCTGCATGAGAGCAAGAGTTTATTTTCAGGAAAGTAGAAATATTTTGTCTCTAGACCAGGGTCCAACAAAATAGAGCCTGCAGGGCAAATCCAGCCCACAGCCTGTTTTTATAGGAGCTTTCAGCTAAGAATGAACGTTACATACTAGGTGTTTGAAAAAAGATGAAAAGAAGAATAGGCCAGGCATGGTGGCTCACGCCTGTAATCCTAGCATTTTGGGAGTCCAAGGCAGGTGAATCACTTGAGGTTAGGAGTTCAAGACCAGCCGGACCAACATGGTAAAACCCCGTCTCTACTAAAAATATAAAAATTATCCGGGTGTGGTGGTGCATGCCTGTAGTCCCAGCTACTTGAGAGGCTGAGGCAGGAGAATCACTTGAACCCGGGAGGCAGAAGTTGCAGTGAGCCGAGATGGCACCACTGCACTTCAGCTCATATGAAATTTAAATTTTACTGCCTATAAATAATTTTAACAAGGTGAAATTCATATAAAATGCATTAACCATTTTAAGGTGTGCACTGAGGTAGGATTTACTTCATTGAAGATGTATTGCAACCAGCACCTTTCCTCTTTCAAAACATTTTTACCATTCCAAAAAACACTATGTCCAGCTTTTTCTCCCTTTATTCCCTGGAAAGCCCTCACCTACTTTCTCTTTCTATTAATAATCCTAATTATTGACTTATTAATATAATTAAATGTAGTAATATTAATATGAATTAAGGTCAGTATGTCTATATATCAATATAGATATACACACATACACACACACGGTTCCAAAATTTGGTGTTGTTTCTGCTTAAAATCTGTTATTTCGGTTGACGATTCATTACTGTATATTTCTCAAACTTTAATAAAAATTTTGTAAGAGCACTACCTATCCATATTCTTAGCAGATTTTTAAGTGTACAATACAGTATTTTTATCTATAGGCACAATGTTATACATTAGATCTCTAGAAATTATTCATCTTGCATATTGAAAATGTTATACATGTTGATTAGCATCTCCCCATTTCCCCAAACCACCATTCTATTCTCACTTCCATGAATTTGACTATTTTAGATACTACATTTAAGTGGCATCATGCCGTATTTGTGCTTTTGCAACTAGCTTAATCATAACACTTAGCATGTTTATTGCAGTGCTATCACAATAGCCAAGCTATAGAAACAACATCAAGGACGAGCTACAGAAGAATGGGTAAATATAATGTAGTATGAACATGCGATGACATGCTATTCAATCTTAACAAAGAAATAAACCCTGCAATATGTGACAACAAAAATGAACCCAAAACTTCTTATTGAAATGAATCATTTATGAATGAGGCTCTTCAGTATGTATTTAATTAGCAAATCATATTTTTGTGGTTTCGCAGTCAGTGTGAGAATAAAAGTGTATTTATCATAGCTACTTACTGGGTTTAAATTCCAATGAAATGGCATTATATAGAAACTGTACTTTCACATGCATTTTCCAGAGAGAATAAAAATAGATTATCTAACGCATTCAATTTCCTCTCAAGATAGCATGGAAAAATTACATAAAATAATAAACTACTGCTTGGTTAATGAGGACTGCTCAGTCAATAGATGTATACATGAGAACTACCTGTCAGAAATAGTAAATTGGACCCAGGAAGAAATTCGTACTCAGAATTCAAAACATATTGTCCAAAAAAATTCAAGGGTTAAAGTTCAAGAGCTCAAAATAATAATTCTAACAAGGAAGAATTTTATTCTAGACTCTTCATAATTGCTCACAAAGTATGCTAGAAATTTATAGCTCTCAACAGTAGTATTTATCATTCCTTCTAATCTTGATGCAGTCATTTAGATGACATATTCATGACACCTGTGCTATTAAAGCAGATATGCATTTATTTTATCATAGATTTCAGAATAGACCACAAAATAGAGTCCAACATTTTCTTTTTTTCACATATAAATTTAGCAAGCTTGTAATGGTTTAAATAAATGGTTAAATAGTAATTTAGAATAAACTCTTTGGGTTTTATTTAATATATGTGATCTATCACATGACTTATAGATTTGCTGTTTTTGATGATGATGTCAGGGATGCAAGAATAACATTATAATATAGTTCAAATCTTTCAGGATATTCCTGAAATCAATAACAAAAAGGCATAGCTTGGAACTGAGAATGCTGCTGTAGTCTTTTGATTTCTGATACTGGAGAGGGTAACATTTAAAACTGGTCATTGGTTGATTTATTGTTGAATTAAGCAGAGCAAGTGTAGCCCAGACATATATCTATCTCTAATTTTCTCTGACAATGTAGATTTGGCAATTTCTTTGACTAAATTTAGGTTTTTCAAGAACTTTTATATTTTATTCATGTTCATGTTATCCAAGACCTCTGCACTTTTTTTACATTTGTCTCTGTTATTGTCAAGATTTTCTCCTTTGGTTTTCTGCCTATTGACTGTTATCTAGTGAAATAGTACTACAATTCTATGATTTTCTGGGTTTTTATTATTACTATTAATCTCATCTGCATTTCAACTCAGGGAGTTTCTATTGCTCTAACTTCAAGGTTTCTAATTTTTTCTTTAGCTGTGCCAGTCGACTAAGGGGTCCATCAATAACATTATTTATTTCTTTTCCAGTTTTTTGTTTGTTTTGTTTTCTGTATTTCCTACTTTTTTAGGGTTTCTATCTCTTGGCTTATTTTACCTATTTGTTCTTGCACGTTGTTTACCTTTTTTATTAGAGCCCTTAACATATTAATGGTAGTTATTTAAAATTATTTGTCTTATAATTCCAAATTGTGATAATATTTGAGTCCAGTCCTGAGGCATGTTTTTACCCTTTATGTTATTATTATGCATTTTAGCATGCCTTGTAATTTTTTTCTGGAAAGCCAGACATGGTGTGTCAGGGAACAGAAAGTGAAGTCAATAGGCCTTCAGTGTCAGCTTTTATGTTAATCCATCTAGGAGTGAAGAAGTGTTCAATGTTTGTTGTTGCTGCAGCTGCTAGAGGCTGAACATTTCTCTGGTGTCCTTGTTTTTGTCTCTTCTATTGTCTTTGGGGTTTCTCAAGAATTGTTACTCAGAGTCTGCCTTTTAAAGCTATTTCAGCTGGAATTCACTATTATTATGCTGGAGCTCTTATTGGTATGGCAGTAAAGTGGAGATGGGGTGTATAATTAAATCTCAGGCTTTTAGTGGATTCCTGCCCTTGGGCTATGACATTTACAGATATTGCTTACCTTATTTTCCTCCTTAGGTGAAGCATGAAGACAAGCGGTCTGCAGTGGGGGCATTTCTCTTCTCTCAGCTGATAGAAGGCTCTGATAAATACTTTTTTTCCCTAAAAAGTAATTCTTTCTTACGGAGAACACTCTAGATATATTTTATCATGCTTAATTTTTTCCTTGCTCATATAGAGGGATGAGGGTGTATTTCTTGGCTCTTTATCATGAGAACCTAGTGGGGTTCTTACAAGTAAAATCTGTGAAAATGTGAGGGCTCCCCTATGACAGCCACACTCAGAATTTCCTCCCTCTTATGCCAGTCTATATCTAGCCTCCAGCAATTCATCAACTTTACCATTTACGTATTTCTAAGAGTTTATGGCTCTAGTGACCTCTGCTCAAGTAAAGCAATTTTTAGCTGGGACTCTTTAAATTTACCTGTCTCTTTGCAATTCAGATGGCAATCTGTCCTGCAAACTCAGTTCTCTGATGAGTCCAAATAAAGTTGTGGATTTACAGTTTGTTCAGCTTTTTTCTTGTTATAGGGATGATAGTGAATACTTCTTACATGTTAGAGCTGAAATGAGAAGACTGTATTTTATGCTTCCCCATCATGTATTTTTGGAAGAAACGTTCTAATGAAGATATTAGGTTTGTGCCAAAGTTGCTGCAGTTTTTACCATGCTTTAATGGCAAAACCACAATTACTATTGTGCCAACCAAATAATTCCTGAATGCTGAATGGTTTAAATAAAATTTTAGGTATGCAGAAAAAAGATAAGGTCCAAAAAATGCTAGCATTGCATTATTGCTAAAATCTTTTGTCAATGTCTTGCAATGGTATGCAAACAATTTATCTTTATTAACTGATTACATTTTCATAGTTGGCATATACTATAATCACCAATAATGTACACATATGCATCACATTCTAATTAACAGTATTGCATTGTGTTATATATTCTGCAGCAACTACTTGTGCCTTAAATGATATTTTCACTCCACCACATAAATATATTTTGAGCTATTGTACTGTTAATAGTGTTGTGTGGAGGCAACATCACATGGAAATCAAAACAACGATAATGAAATATAAAGTTTCAGCAAAAGAAATATTACAAATTGCTACAAGACGAACAGCAGAGACAATGGGTGCTGTAATCCCAGAGAGCTATGGAGAAATGTGTGTGTGTGTGTGTGTGTATGTTTGTGTGGTGTATGTGTTTACAAAAATCTTTTAAAACTGGATAGATGGAAAGGACAGATGATAGAATTACTTTCATATTCTGATTTAGAAGAGAGGTATCCAAAGAGTTTTGTTGTAAAGAAGTACAATGGGATACTCCTGCTTGATAAATAAACTTTGTTACTTATTTCCTGGTATACTGCAATTGTCTTTTTTTCAATAAATTTAAAAAGGGTAAATATGAAGCAGTGAATGTGAGGAATATTTGGACAAACACACATTTCACTTATCATCTTCATAAATTTTTTTCCCCCAAGCATTCCATATATCTACTCATTCACATACATCCTGCTGAATTTCATTGAAAAAAAGATAATTTTTCACAGTATGATGTGGCAGCAAGAAGAGAGCAGAGATAATAGTTTAAGAATATGTCAACGTAGTCTATGATACATAAAAATTATTTAAAATATTACACATGCGCAAAAACAAATAGTGCATGGAAAACTACAAATGAGAACTAAACCTAAGGATGCACTCAATATAAATGTTCTTTTAACATTCAAAATGTCTTTACTATTAAATAAAAATTAGTATTGATATAGGGTTTATTTATACACATATAAACATAAAATTATATTTACATTAATTGTTCTAGAAAAGCATTTTCAGTTAACAGATTTTTGTAACTATTTTTCTGTTCAATAAATCTTTTTATTATTTAAATATATTTTTGCAGTATTTCTTGAGGATATGTATATGTGTGATAAAATTGTATCATTCCATTTGACTAATCAAAGTATTTTGCTAATATAATCACAATGTTTATTTAATATAAATAAAGTAATATGTATAATATTACAATATATTTTCCAATTGTAATTCACTTATATTTTTATCTTTTTCCATATGATAATCCATTTATTTAACTTCTAGCTATTATCTAACTAAATCTTTTTAAAAATTTTTTAATATGTTTTATAATAATGGCAATAGCTTTTGATGCATGCTTTTTAAAAATAACTTCAACATTTACCTTAGATTTTGGAGGTACACATGAAGGTTTGTTACGTGGGTATATTGTATGTTGCTGAGGATTGAGGTACACATGATCCTGTACCCAGGTAGTTAGTGTAGTACCCAATAGTTAGCTTTTCAAACTTAGCCCCTCTGTTCTCCCTCGAGAAGTCCCCAGTGTCTATTACTGCCATTCTTATGTTCGTGAGTACACAATGCTTAGGTCCCACTTGAAATGAGAACATGTGGTATTTGGTTTCCTTTTCCTGCGTTAATTTGTTTAAGAGAATGGTTTCCAGCTATATCCATGTTGCTGCAAAGGACATGATTTCACTCTTTTTCATGGTTGTGTTGTATTCCACGGTGTCTATGTATATATTTTCTTTCCCTAATCCATCACTGATGGAACCTAGGTTGATTCACACTTACCTTAGTGTCATCATGAATATTAAATTAAAATCTACACAAAGAACATTTTCAATTTAAATCAATTATATCTTATAAGTATCATCCATTAGAACAGAAAAGTATAAAAATAAAGTATGGATTTTTAAAATATATATAGCTTACAGAATTACATATTTCTTGCACTTCTGTTTTAGGTATGGTTGTATATTTTTATATCCAAGTTTATTTTTTAATGCTCTTCTTAATATTTTATTTTGGAGCAATTTCAGGTTTAAAAAATGTTGCAAAGACAGTATAGGAAGATTTATTATACATTTCACCCAGTTTTCTCAGAAATTATCATCTGACATAACCATGGTGTATTTATCACAATTAAGAAATTAACATTAGTGAAATGCTACTGGTTAAAGATTTTATTCAAATTTTCCCAGTGTTTTCATTTTTTTTTTCTTTCTTTTAACTTTTAAGTTCAGGGGTACATATGAAGGTTTGTTACATAGGTAAACTTGTGTCATGCAGGTTTGTTGTACAGGTTATTTCATCATCCAGGTATTAAGCCTTGTATCCATGAGTTATTTTTCCTGATCCTCTTCCTCCTCTCACCTTCCATCCTCTATAGGCCCCAGTGTGTGTTGTTCTCCTCTGTGTCCACGTGTTCTCATTATTTAGCTCCGGGTTATAAGTAAGAGTCTGCAGTTTTTTATTTTCTGTTCCCGCATAAGTTTGCTAAGGATAATTGCCTCCAGCTCCATCCATGTCCCTGCAAAGGACATGATCTCATTCTTCCTTATGGCTGAATAGTATTCCACGGTGTAAATGTACTACAGTTTTTTAATCCAGTCTATCATTGATGGGCATTTAGATTGATTCCGCCCTTGCTATTGTGAATATGCTCTACTGAACATACGCATGCATGTGTCTTTATAATAGAATGATTTATATTCCTTTAGGTATATATACAGTAACGGGATTCCTGGGTCAAATGGGAGTTCTGCTTTTAGATCTTCGAGAAATTGCCACACTGTCTTACACAATGGTTTAACTAATTTACACTCCCACAAACAGTAAAAAGTATTCCTTTTTCTCCACAACTTAGCCAGCATCTGTTATTTTTTGACTTTTAATAATAGCCATTCTGACTGGTGTGAGATGGTATCTCATGGTGATTTTGATTTGCATATCCCTAATGATCACTGGTGTTGAGTTTGTTTTCATATGAATGTTGGCTCCATGTATGTCTTCTTTTGAAAAGTTTCCGTTCATGTCCTTTACCCACTTTTTAATGGGGTTGTTTGTGTTTTTCTTTTTATTTTTTTTTTTTAGTTCCTTATAGATGCCGGACATTAGACCTTTGTTGGATACATAGTTTGCAAAAATTTTCTTCCATTCCATAACTTGTCTGTTTACTCTATTGATAGTTTCTTTTGTTGTGCAGAAGTTC
The DNA here is from genome assembly GCF_000001405.40 of Homo sapiens. Lineage (NCBI taxonomy): Eukaryota > Metazoa > Chordata > Mammalia > Primates > Hominidae > Homo > Homo sapiens. The sequence goes on from NW_021159995.1 coordinate 104,183, forward strand.
CTTAGTTTAATTAGGTCCTATTTGTCAATGTTTTGTTTTGATTTTAATTGCTTTTGCCATCTTCATTATGAAATCTTTGCCCATTCCTTGTCCTGAATGGTATTGCTGAGGATGTCTTCCAGGGTTTTTATTATTGTGCCAAGATTTAATCCTGAATATTACATTGCATTTATTTGTCATGTCCCTTTAGTGTTCCAATACACATTAATTTCTCAGTCTTTATTTTTTATAACCTCGTTAGTTTTGAAGAATTATTCGTTGAGCATTTTATAGAATGTCCCCAAATATGGTTCCATCTGACAATTTCTTATCTTGTTGTTGGAGTTAGAAATTTGGGGGAGAATACAACAGAAGTGCTATTTTCCTTGCATTATATTAGGTAATACTCATTAGGTAAAATGTCTTATAATTAACTGACACTAAGTTTAGAAATTTCTTGGCTGTTATTTCTTTAAATGTTTCTTCCTCCACATTTTTCCTGTCTTTTCCCAGTTCCAGTTACACACATATTAATCTTTTTTATATTGTGTCATCCTTTTTGGAATTTTTAAAGAAACTTTCTATATGCATTGCATGTGTGGTAATTTTTATTTACCTATATTCAAGTTACTGATTATTTCCTCAACTATGTTGAATCTATTAACGGTTTCATTAAAATAATTCTTTAATTATGTTAGTAGTTTTCTTGCCTTATTTTTAGCAATTAAGTTCGATTTCACTTATAGTGGAACTGTAAGTTTCCACTTCTCTGAAGAAATTATTCATCTTGTCTTGACAAAACTTTGTAGCAATCCAAATGTTCATCAAAAAGTAAACGGATAAATAAAATCCATACATCCATGCAATGGAATTCTATAGAACAATAAAGAACAAACTGACAGATGCTACAACATAGAAGAATCTCAAAAGTGGCTTTGTGAAAAAAGCCTGATTAAAAATACTACATAATACGTGATGTAATTTATTTGAAATTTTCTTAAAAGTTAGATGTATAGAGATAGAATATCTATCAAAAAAAAGAAAAAAGAAAGTCTGTCAATGTTTGCTTAGGCTTGGTGGGAATAAGACTTAAATGCAAAGGAACACAGAAATACTTCAGAGCATGATGAAAATGTTCTAAAACCTGATTTTAATGATGATTGCAGAAATCTTTAAATTTACTGAAAATTCTTAAATTATATACTTAGATACTTGTTGCTGCATATAAATTATACTTTAACCTCTTAAGTTAACATAAATCTGACAGTTTCATACTAACTTAACCTGTCCGACCTCTATGATCTCATATTCCATGATCCTCAATCATGAAACATTAAACTTAAACTCCTCTGTAGACATCATACTCCCTATATGTCTGACTATTCCATAAACTTTGACACTTCTGGCCTGATTTTCCCTTCACTTGAAATGCATTACCCATCTGTATGCTGGAGGTTTCCTATTTAATTCTTCAGAATCATGTTGACTGTTTCTACTTCTAAAGCCGTTCTTTGATCAGTTAGGGTAAGGTAGCCTCTAGGCTTTCATAATATCTTCAGTACAACTCTGACAAAGCAATTAATATATTGCAATGCATTTGAATGCAATGTACTTGAGCTAGAGTTACTCAATAGCACAGAATTTGTCTTTATTGTTATCACTGGAAGTTATCACAATGGCTAATGTAAATATTTGTTTAATAGTAAACTAGTAAATAGTAAAATAGTAAAATAAACTAATAAGAATTTACACAATATTTTTATATAGCTATTGATATTCTATATAAAAGTCATCAATAATAGTACACGTACTGGCTAGTACACTTACTTACACTTAATAGAAACTCCCCAGACAGATGAATCAATGAATATGTTTATCACTAAGTATATTTTCCTATTGAACTTTTCAAACTGTGAAATTGTTAATAAGTAGCTTTAAAGGTTATTACATAATTCTAACTTTTCTAGATTCATTCACCATCTGTGGGTTAGATTTTTTATTTTAACATTTCAGTATTTACTTTCCTTTTCTAATTTAAATATTTATTTGGAGCCAAAATTCTACATTAATCCTGAGTCTTTCAGTTAATCTCCAAAATATTATAATAATAATGAGCTAAAATCAAATATCTGTTTGGGCAAATATTGCTCTCTGAGCAGAGAGCATTGTTTGAGAGGACACATTGATAGTAAAAAATTGTATGAGCTTCTATTTAACATAATTATGACTGAAAATATTCAATCTGCGTAGCACATTTTACCTATCGGAGCATAATTTTTTGTGTTAGATGTATAAAATGTACCTTTATCATTGCATCTTTAATAATATAACGTGTGATTGGTTGTATAAAATGTGCTTCCGCTCTTGGGAATCCTCTGAGATACTTATTTCATGACGGCGTGGTAATTGCTGTCACGACTTTGCTTGATGATGGTGAATAATTAGGGTCTCATCTAGTACTTCTCTTTCTAAAAGACCTTTATCAACATTAACACTTCTGACCTTTTTAATTGCGCGGATTAAAGCTGGAAATAGATGGTTATTAATGTTCTGTACTTTCAGTTCCTGGAGCATGAAATAATGTTTTCTTTCTCAATAGCATTCAGCAAGTTTACATTTCCCTCAGTAAATGTGACTTTAAAGGTGGCACCATAGTGGGTAATAATTTGGTATTCATAACGCTTTCAGCTACACTTAGCAGCTTCTCGGTGTTTGCTAAATCCTCATTGATGCATCCATGTCATTCTAATTATAGATTTTGACTGAGCTGCACAAATGCATGCACCCCTTTATTACAGAAACCAAGAAAAACTATTTATAAGTTTTTCTGTCTTTTTCTCTTTTCATACAAAATTTAAAATGGTGGCTTTTGCACTTGTCATTCAAACCTGCCAGAGAATGACAAACAATATTGAAGCAATGTTGAGAACACAGAGCAGTACTGTAGAATTAAAGTTAGCTTTGATATACAAGCTCCCAATTAGGCAGGTCGCCTATTGTTCCCTTCTGGAAGAAATGAAAAAATAATGTAGTGTGAGAAAAACTTTTGTTGGCATATGTGCCAGAAGGAAAAAATTCTTACTTGGGAAAAAGGGTTTTGCACAATAATGCATCTATGAATAAAAGAATATAAGTTAACCTGTAGTTATAATTTATGCATGTGCATGTACTTGTATTATGCACAAATAATAGCCATGTTTATCTGTGCATATATTTATGCATAAATATGCATCTGTCATATATATATTAAACATATATGCATACAGAGTGATTAAAATCTATCAGCTGTATATTAAAATATTTATATTATTTATATCAGGGTATATTGCAAACCCAAGAACAAATTGAAACTCCTTTCACATTTTTCTAATCATTATATCTGGACTAGCAGTTGGAAATTAAACCTGTAGTTTTACCTTTTATGGCTTAACATGGACGTAGTTCAAACAAAATGAAGGTAGATGAGTGAGAAACTTGGCAAACATGAGAGAAAAATCTCTTACCTTTCACATATGCAAAACCCATTTGAACCTAATCATTTTAATGCTGACATGAACAGCTGTGCTAGTTCTCATTATTTGATAATGAGGGTTGTGAATATATAAGGCAGTTTCTAGAAAGCTAATACTTTGTAGACTAAAAGTAATTGTGTGTGGCAGAGTACATATGCACACAGGATTTTAAACCATTTTCATAATCTAGTTTCCACTTTCTCCATTATACTTTGTGTTGGAATTGCATTTCAAAAAGAAAAAAGTAGTATGTAATATATTTTATAAGTTACTATAAAAATGTCCAGAGGAAAAAATATTTAATCTCATGATTTGTACTTGTTTTGCAGTTTTCATATGTTGAAATGTATCATAGGTATATTCACTTGCTTTTGCTTCATAACTCTGTGGGAAAAAAAGCTGAGATATTATCTTTTTATTTCTGTTTGACAAAACTGAGCAGTTACTTAGAGATTAAGTGACTTGCCAAAGATGACATAATACACCATGATTAAGGTGCCTCTTGATACTTTCACAGATTTTGTTGCCCTCTGAACATTATAATATGTTAATCACCAAATCATGTGTTATTTTTCATACTGTTCAGGAATCTTTTTGCAAATCCATGAACAAGTAGAATCCATGAGAAAGAGAAAATGCTCAGTAAGTAGCTATCGAAAATTTTAAATAAAAATGTAGATTTATAAATTTCATAACCTCATAACATTACAAATAAAAATAGTCTTCAAAGAGGAAAATACAGAAATAACTAAAATAAAATGGAAGAAATTTATTTTCCAAGGAACTGTCTTGACTATTCTAGCTTCAATTTGAACAATATTTCTGAGGAAATTACTAACCATATATCTATACGTTTACGGGGAAGTTTACTTAAACCTTTATTTGACAATCTATAGACCAGAAAAAATATTAATATGAGAGGTTAAACTAGGTTAAATTTCAGCATATTTTAGTTAGAATTTAGTCTAAATTATAAGGGTAGTTAATACAATCCAAATGAGAAGAAGCATACAAAACTATTTTTCTAATTCTAATATTTATTTAAAGTGGATAGGTTCAAAGAGACATAAAAGGAATCATAGGGAATATCACAGCCAGATTCTTCTAATGGGAACATTTTTTAAAATTAGACAAAATTTTCATTAATTACCAGAATAATTAAAATTTTCACAATAGAATAATTACTTATAAAGCTATAAAGAAAATATTGAAAGAAATAATGGCTAAGAGATTTCCAAAGTAAGTGTCAGACACTTAAAATAAGTCACTTAGAATTATAAATAATGTGAGTATATTAGTGAGCTTTCTGTAGTTATACTACAGTAATAATCCCTTAATATCACAATATTAGTTTTATTTCTTGGTCATATATATGTTGCTATGGTCAAATGTGGCCCTGCTTACCACCTGTCTGTTTTCATGCTGCTAATGAAGACAAACCTGAGAATGGGTAACTTATAAAGGAAAGAGGTTTAATTGACTCACAGTTCAGCATGGCTGAGGAGGCCTCAGGAAACTTACAATCATGTTGGAAGGGGAAGCAAACACATCCTTCTTTATATGGTGGCCACAAGGAGACGTGCCAAGCTAAAGGGTGAAGAGCCCCTTGTAAAACCATCAGATCTCATGCGAACTCACTCACTATCATGAGAACAGCATCATGGGGGTAACCGCCCCCATGATTCAATTACTTCTCACTGGGTCCCTCCCATGACATGTGGGGATCATGGAAACTACAACTCAAAATGAGATTTGGGCAGGACACAGTCAAACCATATCACCACCTTTATCTTTTAGGGTCCCAATCAAAGGAAAATTTCTAATTTTGTCTCTTGGAAGTTTTACCCAGATGTGGCTTATGTCACTCCTGTGCATATTTCCTTTTCTAAAGCAAGTCACATGTCCAATCCTGAAGTCACTTTGGTGAGAAGTGTGCTCCTCCTCTAGGGAGAGACTCTGTAAGTATAAAACCAAAGAGGGGCATGGATATTTTTGAACAAATACAAAAACATATTGCAGAAAAATTTGTGAACATATTTTCAAAAGCTCTCACATCCAGAAATAGATATTTGGTTCTCTATGTGACATTACCCACTACTGCATATAATTGTGGATTCTTCAAGAATATCATGTCATCTGTAAAATTTAGGAGCCAATTTGGGAAAAAAAATCATTACTTTCCACTCAAGATCACGTATAAAACTGTAGAAAAATCTGTAATGCTGACTACAGACAGTTTAACAGCATTAGTCATAGTAAATACACTGGGGAAAGGGGATTATGTGTCATTGTCAAGGAAGCTGGGAGGTAAATAGTTGGCTACTTCTGATAACATATAGAGGATGACTAGCCATGGAACTTAACTGAAACCCATAAATCAAAAACACATATTTAAAGACTCTACAATGAAGAACCAGTGAGTAAGAAATGAAGGTTTATATTTTCCTAGTAGATATATCTGAGCAGATATATATGTGACACACAGGTATATATATGTATGTGTGTGTGTGTGCATCTTCTGAGGAAACACCTCAAATTATCCCAAAATTATCTGAGTTAGGTATTAAGTGAATTTCTAGATGTTCTGCCTCTTTAATTCCATATCTCATAAATTTTCATTGATACTGCAAAATATGATAGAGATTAACTGGTATTTTAAGGAACTGGGCTGGTGTCGTAAATGGTAAAATAAGTGGCGGAGTAACTCCATTCAGAAACCATCCAACAAAATCCAACGTACCACAGTATATCTTAAGACACTAATGTTTTCAGATGGTCTTAATGACTAAATGATTTTTGAAGAAAAGGGAAATAATTTATTCCAAATGATCTCTTGATTGTATTTCCATAATTTTAGCTCATATACATTATGTATTCACTTATTTACATATTTGTTTCATAAAATAAAATTGGATCATCAAATATGTGCCTAAGAAGATGTCTGTTTTACAATATGTTCTGCAATTTTCATTTTTTTGGATTAAGAATGTTTCTGATGAATAAATACATGTGTATGTATGTGCATATGTGCATGTGTGTACATTGAGAAAGATACTTAAATTCTTAACCTTAGTCTCGTCTTACGTCAAATTAAGAAAATATCTCTTAGTTGAGAATCTTTCAGGTGCAAGTGAAAAAAAATTATCTGAATTAATTTTTTTTTTTTTTAGTTTTTTTTTTTATTATTATACTTTAAGTTTTAGGGTACATGTGCACATTGTGCAGGTTAGTTACATATATATACATGTGCCATGCTGGTGTGCTGCACCCATTAACTCATCATTTAGCATTAGATATATCTCCCAATGCTATCCCTCCCCCCTCCCCCCACCCCACCACAGTCCCCAGAGTGTGATATTCCCCTTCCTGTGTCCATGTGATCTCATTGTTCAATTCCCACCTATGAGTGAGAATATGCGGTGTTTGGTTTTTTGTTCTTGTGATGGTTTACTGAGAATGATGGTTTCCAATTTCATCCATGTCCCTACAAAGGACATGAACTCATCATTTTTTATGGCTGCATAGTATTCTATGGTGTATATGTGCCACATTTTCTTAATCCAGTCTATCATTGTTGGACATTTGGGTTGGTTCCAAGTCTTTGCTATTGTGAATAATGCTGCAATAAACATACGTGTGCATGTGTCTTTATAGCAGCATGATTTATAGTCATTTGGGTATATACCCAGTCATGGGATGGCTGGGTCAAATGGTATTTCTAGTTCTAGATCCCTGAGGAATCGCCACACTGACTTCCACAATGGTTGAACTAGTTTACAGTCCCACCAACAGTGTAAGAGTGTTCCTATTTCTCCACATCCTCTCCAGCACCTGTTGTTTCCTGACTTTTTAATGATTGCCATTCTAACTGGTGTGAGATGATATCTCATAGTGGTTTTGATTTGCATTTCTCTGATGGCCAGTGATGATGAGCATTTTTTCATGTATTTTTTGGCTGCATAAATGTCTTCTTTTGAGAAGTGTCTGTTCATGTCCTTCGCCCACTTTTTGATGGGGTTGTTTGTTTTTTTCTTGTAAATTTGTTTGAGTTCATTGTAGATTCTGGATATTAGCCCTTTGTCAGATGAGTAGGTTGCGAAAATTTTCTCCCATGTCCTCTGGGGGCAGGGCACAGACAAACAAAAAGACAGCAGTAACCTCTGCAGACTTAAATGTCCCTGTCTGACAGCTTTGAAGAGAGCAGTGGTTCTCCCAGCACGCAGCTGGAGATCTGAGAACGGGCAGACTGCCTCCTCAAGTGGGTCCCTGACCCCTGACCCCCGAGCAGCCTAACTGGGAGGCACCCCCCAGCAGGGGCACACTGACACCTCACACGGCAGGGTATTCCAACAGACCTGCAGCTGAGGGTCCTGTTTGTTAGAAGGAAAACTAACAAACAGAAAGGACATCCACACCGAAAACCCATCTGTACATCACCATCATCAAAGACCAAAAGTAGATAAAACCACAAAGATGGGGAAAAAACAGAACAGAAAAACTGGAAACTCTAAAACGCAGAGCGCCTCTCCTCCTCCAAAGGAACGCACTTCCTCATCAGCAACGGAACAAAGCTGGATGGAGAATGATTATCTGAATTAATTTTAAAAATCTATAGATATAATAGCTTCAGATGTAACTGGATACTGAGAGTTCAAACAATGTAGTCAAGTTTCTGTTACCTTCTTCCTTTATATTATGCCCTTCCTCTGTATGTAGATTCAACTCTTTTATCACACTTTTTAGTTGTAGTAAGGAAATTGATATTAATGGTCAAGATTAGAATCCTCCCTACGTTGTAACCTATGAGAAGAAGAGCATCTACTCCTCTAACCTTAGGAGAAAATTATGTAACCGACTTGGCTTTAATCAAAATTTTTTCCTGAATTAATCATATGATCATGGAGATGTGTCCCTTTTGAGAAGGTTAGAGATGACCATTGACACATCCACTTTGACGATAAGGAATTCAGGAAGGCTGATTCCCTAAAGAAAGGGACATTGACCTAGACACATGTGTCCACTAAAATTACATGGGCAAGTGACATAAAAATGCCTCTGAAGTGGTTAAAAATTGTCCAGAACTTTTCCAACTGAAAGAAAAATGTGATAATTTCTAGCAGATATGGTGGTGCCCATATTTCTATATAATTAGGAATCTATTTTCAGCTCTGAACTATCTCAAGTTTATTTTTCCCACTGAAAGACAATCTGGAAAAATATTGCTTATTATTTCACCAGGTGGAATATGATGACAGATTATCAGGAGACCCACAGAAAAAACTACTACAGCACAGCACAAATAGAAATGGAAATCACTGTCTGGTAGGAAATAAAACACTCTAGATGGATATTTTTATAGAGAAAGAAAGTAAAGCCTTTTTAGCAATCAATTAATGGAGGTTTTTTTTAAAAACTTTATCTTTGCCCAATTATAGAGTCTTTTTTTAAGCAATAATGAATATTATGATTTGAGAAAGTAAAAATTTGTCCTAGAGCTGTGTGGATTGAATAAGTGATGTGAAAGATGGAAATAGTTGAAATATTTAAGCAGACATAGAACAAAATAAGATGAAAAATTGAGACCATATCAACGTCAAGAAATTTCTCAAACTTGAAAAAAACAAATTTGCTAGTTTTTAAGAAACAGAGTTGATAAGTCAATTCAGGATGCCACTTTATATGCATTTATTACATATTTATTCTTCCATTGGATCTATTTATATTATTCTCAACTAGTATTTTCTACATTGCGATAATTTTCTGATTCTAGTTCCTCTGTAGTGTGTTTTCTCTCTGGCAATATTTAGATTTTAATATTAAATCTTAGTGTTCTGAGATTTCACAACAATTAAATTAGGTATAAGTGGTTTTTCACTCATTTAATGAGATACTCATGGGGCCCCTTAAATATGAAAACTCCTTCAGTTGTTTGGCTATAGGCATTTATGTTGTATTGCTCTAATTGTTCCTTTTATTATTTTCCTCCTCTTTCAGTGTTTTTCTTTCAGAACTTCTCTTAATAGATATTGACTATATAGTGTTGAGAAAACAAAAAATGATAGAGGGAGCCCTCTCCATAAGACACAGTAAAAGGAGTTTAACTACTGAATAAGCACATCTAAAGTACACTGCATATTGTAAGCAGTCTGTAAAAGAGGCTATAAAGTCCAGATAGAATTTTCATAAATTAATTCAGTAAAGCAGAAGAAAGAAAAATTAAAATTAAACTTTTATCTCTTTGAGAGATAAATTATTGCACCTTGGAATAGTCTCCTGTAATTCCTGGGAGACTCCTGAGGTCATTTTGGAGGCAAGAGTTTACAGTTTCCAGAGCCAGAAAGCCTTAAAAACAATAGGCCAGTGTTGAACCATCCTTCCGTCCCAGGGATAAATTCCAGTTGCTCATGTGTGACACTGTTAATGTGCTGTTGAATTTGGTTTGCTGGTATTTTGTTGAGGATCCTTGCATCTATGTTCATCAAGGAAATTAGCCTGTGATTTTCTTTTCTTCTAGTGTCCTTCTGTGGATCAGGTATCAGCGTAATGCTGGCCTCATACAATGAGTTTGGATTCCTCTTTAATTTTCTGTAAGAGTTTGAGAAGTATTATTCTTAAATGATTGTATCTTTTCAAAATGTTTGGTAAAATTCCCCAGTGAAGCCATCAGGTCCTGGATGGGCATCTTTTAAAAATGGTAATTCGCTTGACTTTGGTAATTATTTCACAGTATATATGTATATAAAGATATCATGTTGTATACTCTAAATATATGTAATTTTTATTTGTCAATTATACTTCAGTAAAACTAAGGGAGTTTTTAAGAAAAACCACAATAGAACAGACAAATTTGGAGTTTATGATGTTTTCAAGGAGACACACTGAGGGGAATGGGAAAAAAATTGTATAATTTTATCCTTACAATAGTGATACTAGCTAACATTTGCCAAGCAATTAATAATGTCAAACACATTACTAAGGACTTTACATGTATTAAATGACTTATTCACATAATAACACTAAAGAATGGTTATTATTATTGATATTATTATTATCTCTATTCTAAAAGTGAGAAAGAAACAGGGAAGCTAAATTACTTGCCTGAGTTGACACAGGTATTAAGGGACAGCCAGTATTAATCCCTGGCAGTCTGGCTCCAGAGCCTATAGTCAAGCATCCCACTTAGTACTTTTCTATGTACCTTTTCTATCTCTATTTTTTCTTTTGTTAATAATATCCTTTTAGTCTTCCTGGACCTTTAACAGCCCATTCTTCTACTTCAGCAATGCACTCCTCAGCTTAGTTCGTTCTGCTCTTTGGTCTATAAATTAGACTTTTATTCTTTAAATATACGTTTTAAATTAAAAGTACTATAGATATTTATTTGTTGTATATGACATATTCTAAAATATCTTGAAAATATTAAATAAAGCTATTCTAAAACCTCTGTTTTCCCTATTTTGATACTCAGTTTGAGCTGCTATGACAAATTACCTTAGACTGAGTGGCTTAACAACACGTATTTATATCTCACAGTTCTGGAGGCCAGAAAATTGAAGATCAAGATGTCAGATCCAGTGTGTTTTGTGAGTCTACTTCCTGGTTTACAGATGGAAGTTTTGTATTCTCATATGGCAGAGATCAGAGAAAAAAGAAAACTCTTGTGTCTCTTCTTATAACAGCATTGATCCTACTCATGAGATTCTATCCTACTGACCTACTTACCTTCAAAAAAAAAAAAACAACCTGCCTCCTAATACAATCACACTGGGGCTAGTATTTCAGCATGTAAGTTTTGACGGCCACAAACATTCATCCCTAACACTCCTATTGATTATTTCTTCGAGTAACAAGTTTTTTTTAGGTTTTATTTTTGTAGGTTCTCATTCTTGATGTTGTTTCCCATAAGTGTCAAGCAGTCTTTCTAATGAAAAGTATATGCTTGAATTTTCTGACTACTAAAAATTATGGCACATAGGGTTCAAAGAGATATACTTGTAGCTTACCTTCAGAGAATGGTGTCATCCATTGACTTTTTTAACCTCTTCGGTCCAAATATCTATATTTTCTTCTTTACCATATGGATTAATCCCACTTCTTCCAGCTGTTCAACAAAGGATGAGTTTGGAGGAGACAGTGACTTATAAGTTGCTCCAATTTGATTCACCCATATTTGTCTCACAAATCCTTTTATCTCCTTATCTCAGGGTGAGCCCCATTTCCTACATGTCTCCTGCTTTCATTTCACCTCTCGCCTCTACATCTATACAGTCTTTGTCTGATCCCATCTGCAATTCTACTGATGTTCCTCTACCCACTTAGTACTCACTTAAATCTTCTAATGATTTCTCCAAAAGTCTATGAGAGTTCCTCTTTCCCCCAACATAATATACATTTATGTATGTGTATGTATGTTTATATGTATAACATAGTATATGGTGTGTGTGTGTGTGTGTGTGTGTGTGTGTGTGTAGACAAAGACTTCCCGTGACATAACTTTAGTCAGACTCTGCTAAACCCTCAAAGCTCCAACCTTGAGCTCTGTCCATGGCCTGTTTAGTCCAGTTTTAACAATAATTTTTCAGGTCAGTTTGGGAAAAATCATCCACTCTTGATATCTGATTAAATCCTCATTGCCCACCCCTGATATCTTATCACTCTGCGCTGTCTTCAGCAAAATTCCTGTCAAGTAGGTTTAGCCAAAATTGTCCTTATACATTATGATACCTTAGTAATTTTTTATTCTGTGACCTCTACCTATCTTCTTAGCTATAAATCTCCATTTGTTCTTGTTATTTTTGGAGTTGAACCCAATCTCTCTCCTCTATGGAAAAACTTCACTGTTGTAGTCTCTCTTAAATAAAGTTCTCTTTCCCATCTTTAACAAGGGCTATGAATAAATTTTTTATAGTTACGGTACAGTGATTCAGATAGAATCAGACTCATCATTGGACTCCTGGACTTTTCACTCAGGACCCCAAGTGTGTATCTTTGAAGATTTCTTCTTCATTTCTGATTGATCTTAGATCCACTAGTACATCTAATTCCTGAGCCAGTGCTTGGTTGACAGTTTGTTGAACCATGGTAGGGACAGATTTTGATTCTTAGGATTTGGAGTATATCCTTGAAAGCTGGGTTACAGTCCCAGGCTTCTTTTGAAAGATACCTCCTGGGCTGCAAGTTCTTCTGCCTGGCTCCTTGTTTTGATTTGGATTCGATCCCTGACTTCTGGGCTGGAAAACAGTATTTTTTTGGGGGGGGGGGCGGTGGTGGTGGCTTTCCCTTTGATGTCTCTATTTAATCCTGCTCTGCTGATGGAACTTCTCAATCAACTGAAATCACCTTCTCAGATCCTTGCTAACCATATGCCCTGCCAACTCTATCCACTTGTTTTTGTTGGCATAATTTTACTAAAGAGCATTTGGAACTATTTTAGCACCTTTGGAAAACTTAACATCTCCCCAAACTAAATCCTCTTGGATCTCTCTCACCATTACCTCTGCTTTTCCACCTTTTCTTTTTACCACCTTTGATCTTCCATTTGGCTTTTGGCATCCTTTGCTATATCCTCCTTCAGTCCTCTGCCTCTTCCTCACCTCCATTCACCCTGCCAGACGTTTCTGCTCCCACTCCAGCTCCTCAGCTTCTTATAGACACTTAGGCCTTTTGCCCAATCAGAGATTCTCAAGCGATTCATCGATCCCCAAAAGCAACTATCAGAAGCTGAAAAGAAAAAAAAGGTTAATTAGAAACAAACTGGATATTTTGTTTTCTTACATATTACTTTTTTTTAAGATTATTAGTCTGCTTTTAATAAGAGATAGTAAAATGTTTTTCTTTACCTTTTCAATAATCTGCCTAGGAAACCACAATCTTGTGTCTTATCAAATTAATATCCCATGTGTTATGTTCACTTTTATCATGTCCTTAATCATTAAAAAAAACCCCAAGACTTCTTACATATATTTTAGAGACTGGAATGCAGTGGCTCTTCACAGGTGTGATCATAGCATAGCACACTACAGCCTCAAATTCCTTGGCTCAAGTGTTTCTGCTGCTTCGGCCTCCCCAGTTGCTGGAAATACAAGTGTGTGCCACCAAACCAGGTACTAAATTAAATATTTCTAAGCCTTCCAGGAATATGGAAACTAATCCAAATGCTCTACATGTTCACATGACTTGGGTAAACATCTTTTGATAAATAAAATTAGTTCAATATTGTTAGTTAAATAAAAATTGGTATTTCATCATTAATTATAATATTGGCATATATTTTTATTCTACCTGGATTTACTAGTTAATTAAGGTGTTTATTTCTATTATTAGATGTTTAAGATTATTAAAAATAAAAATTCAACCTAAGAACAAATGTACAAGTAAAGATACAATCAAATGTATGTACAAGTACAAGTAATGTACAAGTAAAGATACAATAAAAATGAACTGCTTGAAATACATTACTTCATGTATATCAAGCACAGAAATAAAAATAAACAAAACTTCACGTATTTAACTTTTTAGGTTTATGCTTTTGTGATGCTTTGCATACCGTGCAAGTGCTATAAAATACTTAACAGGGAAATAACTTGAGATGAGAGTTAGCTTTGTTTAATGTTATCATATGTCTGCCTAAAGATAATTTTTAAAATAACTTGTAACTAAAGCTATGCCAAGTTAAGTAATAGATATTTATTAAATGTCTGGGCCATTTCTAAATAAAGTAAACTACTGAAACTTAATTACTAACATATGTTCAAGATTACATACTTTTGACATCTTATGGAATACAGAGACTATGATTATATATGTTCTGTTAATAAACAGTTTTATGCCATCTAAAAATTATACTTTGGAAATGTATATGCCCCTTTAATTATAAAATAGTATATGCATACATTTGTTACTCTGCTAGAGAATGCTAGTAAATGACAATTTTCTACTTCCTGGTTTTCTCTGTAAAAGGAAGTTAGTTATTAATGGTTAAAAATATAATCAATATATATATAACTAAACTAGAAATAATAAGGGTGAATGAAGCAAACAACTCAGTATATAAAATATGCAAAAACGTATGTGTTTTTAATAAGGAAAAATACACTGGGATAAATGATTTGTTTTCATTAAAGGAAAAAGAGAGTAGTTTTATCCTATGGAATTATGACTATTGATATCCATAGATAGTTTTTAAATTTTCCTAAACTAGATGAAGTGGTTAATACAGGTTGAAAGTATGTTTATGAGCCCACTATTGAAAAAAAATAAAGAAAAATGTCCTAAATTTCAAGATCATGCATTTGAGTTTTATTTAGAATGGAACAAACAGTCATTAAAAATTCTGGATGAATGCTGTTATCATGAAAATGTTTAGGAAAGTGAATATGACAATAGACAGTAAAATAATTTAGAATAAAAGAAACAGAAAAGTAGGTTTACTGTTAGAGAAAAATTTCAATAGGACTGAGTAATTAAAGATCAAACAGGTATGGGAACACAGTGTTAGGAAGAATCACAGATATTATTAAATTCAAATACCTTAGTGTGCAATGAAGAAAATTAAATTTAGATATGCACAGAGACTTCTTCAAGGAATTACTGTTCATTTAAAGGAGTACATTCTAAGGCAGAATACAGTCATTTTTATTCTCAATCCAGGGTTCTATTACTCTTTTCTGTGATTTTAATATCAAATTTTGGTCATATTTTAAAACTTATTTTGGGTTTATTCTTTTAGGAGTTCAATACAATTCTGACACCTTGTACTTAAAAAATATTGATAACCTCCGTTTTAAATCAATATTGCCAATCAAATTTATAATGTACACGCACATTTATTTTGCAAATAATTTTCAGTTGAAACAATGGAAATAGAATTCATGAGTTATTTCATGCAAATTTTAACCTTTAGCTTTTGACTGAACATCTAGAGTATTCTTCCAGTCAAATTTTAATCTTAGATGGTAGAATGCAGAATCCATCAATCTAGACAAATCTAGAATTAATGTAAGCTTGACCACCCACTAGCTCTTTGACTTTGAGTAAGGTCTTTGAACTCTGTGGGTTTTAGATTTTCAATCTGTGAATTTAGAAAGCAGTTCAGAGGCTCTCTGAGTCCCTTCCATCTCTAACAGTCATTCATCTTATCATCTCTAAAATTCTGAAATTCAACAGAATCCAAAGCTTATTATGAGCTAATAGTTTCCATGACAATCATTGTATACTTGTGTACACAAGTTCTGAGGCCATTAGATTTGTAATAGGTTCAAAATTTGTGGAGAGTGACGTGAAAGCCTTTGCGTTTCAGTGTATCCATATGTATATATATATAGATAGATGGAGTCTAGCTCTGTCATTCATATATATACATGAGAGAGAGAGAGAGAAACATGGAGTCTAACTCTGTCACCAGGCTGGAGTGCAGTGGCATGATCTCGGCTCACTGCAACCTCCACCTTCTGGGTTCAAGCAATTGTCCTGCCTCAGCCTCCCAAGTATGTGGGACTACAGGTGCACACCACCACACCCAGCTGATTTTTATATTTTTAGTAGAGATGGGGCTTCACCATGTTGGCCAGGTTGGTCTCAATCTCTTGACCTCTTGATCCACCCACCTCAGCCTCCAAATGGGCTGAGCCCAGACCCATATTTTGAGTTTAGTACAGATGCTCTGTTCTCAGGAATTCTTTTGGGCTTTAATATTCCAGACATTTTCCTTATATTTCTCTTTAAGTTTCTATAGAATTAGAATATTCATAGCACCTAGTTCAGAAGGTGTGTGAACTTCTGAACTATGAGAATGGTGTGTCGTAAAATTCACCATTGGCTTACACATATGCTTACACTCTTGGTATATTTTATGACGTGCCAGTCTCACAGCAATGATTAAAACAATACCTAGCACATAAGACTCAAAAATGATAGTTGTTATCATCAACCTTCCCAATGTGGTCACCTTGCTCTCTCATCAGTTGTTATGTATTAGTAGTGTATTTGACAGTTGTTACATAGTTACCATTATGTAGCATGCCAAATATTTAATAAACCATTCACTAATGTTCAAAAGCTAGAATGGAGCTATGTGTTCATCTTTATTCAGAAAACAATGTACTGAGGACATTTCTGCCCAATGTAGAAAATTTCAAGCCAGACCACAGTTTTTTAAAAAGCTCTCTCTATTGCCCTAATTTCCAACTGTGTTTTAATATTTCCCCAGTATCTTAAACTGAGTTAAAAACCAGGAAGCTTTTCTTCACTGGATTAAAAATATAAAACAAATAAATAAGTTACAAAACAAATAAGCAAGCTACAAAACAGATTCTGGGCAATTTTTCTTCTGTCTTCTTCCTTTCTTTCCATCTTCCAGCTCTTTAATATTTATTTTCATATTCCTGTTTCTGAAATCCCTTCACTTTGTTAACTTCTTGATTTCTATAGTCTGCTAGATAAATGTGATTCTTGTTTTTCTCAGGAAAGAGGAACTAATTTTGAATTGAAGGTGTGATAAAACTCTCAGTCACTCCCATGTGTACCTGTACAACAGAGACAAACCAGAACTGTGGAAAAAGTAAAACTAGTTGCATTAGCTGCAAACTTGTTATTGGAAGGAGTAAACCTCTGTACATATCAACCAATATTAAAAAAACCTTGATTATAAACAACTTGATTAAACCATAGGAAATGGAGTATAAGGCCTTTAAAAAAGAAAGCAACATCCAAGCAGAGACTGGAATGGAAGGTGATGATGGTAGGCCAGAAAGAGTCAGCAGAATTTGAAAAATCCAAAAAAGAATTTTTTTTAGGATGTTCAATGGTTTCACGAAAAGGAACTGGAAATTGTATTAGAAATGAGAAATTGTATTTAAATAGTCTAACATTTTTATTATGTAGACTACTACAAATATAGCTTGGGTTCAAAATTTCTCAATTTTTGCTTTGCTTTGCTTTCATTAAGTCACCTATAATGGACATATATTAGTAAGTAGACTCAAAAACTCCAAATTTAATATGCTTTACATAGAACATTTTTTACTATTTACAAGTTACCGCATAGGAACGTTAATACTTGATGATGAGAAATAAGACAGATTTACATGTTACTCAGCTCATTCACTTAATAATTAATTTTATTTACCCACCATTCAAGGGAAATTCCATTTTGAAACTTTCTTTGCTAATTTGAGAAGAGGTTTCTTGTGCATAACAAAGCTCTATTTTATATGATCTATAGAAATATTTGTAATTACAATATTATTAGAATCAATCTTCTGCCATCCATAAGTTACAGTATGAAATTCATTTTAGAGAATTTTTACCAACATGGATTTCTTTCCTACCTGTTTTTTATCTTAAAGTTAAAAATCCTTGTTATTAACCTATTTTTCTCTTTTCTTTTCATGGTTGTCCCAAATTTTTTAAAATGATAACTAATAGATGAGCAGATTGCTGGACAATTTTAAAAACCTAAATTAAAGTCACAAGAACAGAATTTCTTTCAGAACCCACTAACTAATTAATTGTAAAACTTTAGAAAAACCCTTTAACCTGTGGGTGAGTTTACCTATATTTTCTGAGATATTTTCTAAATTAAAATACTTTGTCATTTACTCTCCTCTGAGCTGACATTGTGAGACATGTTTTCAAAGATGTTTCTTATGATGAAAACATGACAAACATGATAATGATATTATAAATCTTTTCATTTCCGCCACAGTTTTCAAGAAAAAGATATGGCAGACAACGAGTTGGTAGATATTCTTAAAAATTGTTATTGAAATTTACAGTAGAGGCAATCAGGTAATAACCCTGTGTTTTCTGAACTAAAAACTCAACCTTTTCTCACTCAGTGGACTCTAAACTAGAGAGAAGTACAACTTTTGCTGAAGAGATAAAAAACCTGTAATAATAATGAAATCTGCATCACACCACTACAATTTCTACCAATATGATTATGTCAGATGTGACAAATTTTGAAAAGGTCTGTACAACTATCACCTATGCACCTCTACACTCCAGACAATTCTAAAGAAAGAAGGAAGAGAGGCTGTGATTTTTTTGTGAGGGTGGGGGAAAATATAATGGTACTAATACTTTACTACAAGGCAGAGGTAGCTATTAGGTTGGTACAAAAGTAATTGCGGTATTGCCATTAAAAGCAATGGCAAAAACCACAATTACTTTTGCACCAACCTAATCATAGGCACTTGTGAATTATGTAAAGATTATATGTAAGACCAATTATTTGATATGTGAGATAAACACGATACTCTTGAGCAATTTATGGGCTATATATAATTTGTACAAACACGGTGGACATATTCTCATTAGGATAATGGTACTTTATAGTGTCCAAAAAATAAATCATACGTTATGGTAATATGATCTCATGAAACCCTAAGGTGATCTGAATCCTGGAGTAGAATTGTGAAATCAAAGCTCTATTTTTAGTTATTTTTTGACTGTACACATGTAGTGGTGGGCAGGCCATCAATCTCTGGGAACCTGTGTTCCCTCCTGGACAATGCCTATCTTAATCTTACAAAATAAAGGAATAAAGTATGCTTAAGCATATTAAATAACTTCAGAAATTCTTGTGTGGCTTTTTGTTTCAAATCTAAATATACTTCTATTTTCAGTAACTGAGTTTTTCTCTAATATTATTTTTTGAATAAACTTAAAAAAAAATCCCAGAATTTCCTGGTTTTTAAAAAGCGTATTGTTGTTTCTTTATTTCCTCTAAGTTGATATGTCAAAAGTTTAAATGGGGAATGTGATGGCCAGTTTTATGTGTTAACTTGACTAATCATCAGATGCCATATATCTGGTTAGACATAATTTCTTAGTGTGTCTGTAAGGATGTTTTAGGAAGAGATTGGCAATTCACTTCGTGGACTGAGTAAATCAGATGGCCCTCCCCAGTGTGCATAGACAGGCATCATCCAAACCTTTGAGGGACTGAGTAGAACAAAATGGCAGGGGAAAGTTGAATTCACAGTCAGCAATGACTGCTAAGCTGGGACATCCATCTTCTTCTATTTGTGATCCTGGTTCTCAGGACTTTAGAATCAGAATGGAATCTATACCACTGTATCTCTGGCTGTAAGGCTCTCAGGTCTTTCAAATACATTACTGGCTTTCCTGGGTATCCAGCTTGTAGATGGCAGATTACTGAACTTCTTAGCCTCTACATGGTGTAAACCACTTCCTTTATTAAGTCTTATTTTTAATTTCATTTATGTATACAAATCAGCGGGCATACCTTGTGTTTTTTTTTAAATTCCTCTTTATTGTTCTTCAAAGATATTGAGGTTTTTACAAATTGAAAGATTGTGGCAACCCTGGGTTAGGGAAGTCAGCACCATTTTTCCAACAGCTTGTGATCACACTGTGTCTCTCTGTTATAATTAGGTGATTCTTACAATATTTCAAACTCTTTCATTATTATTATAACTGTTATGGTGATATGTGATTCGTGATCTTTGATGGTACTATTGTCACTGTTTTGGGCTGCCATAAGCCATGCTCATATAAGATGGTAAAATTAATCCATAAATGTTGTGTGTGTTCTATCTGCTCCACCAACCAGCTGTTTTCAGTCATGCTCCCTTTCCTCAGGCCTCCCTATTCCCTGAAATTAGGCTAATAGCCCTACAATGGCCTCTAAGTGTTCAAGTGAAAGGAAGAGTGGCACGTCACTCACTTTTCATCAAAAGCTAGAAATGATTAAACTTAGTGAAGAAGGCATGTCAAAAGCTTTAGATATGCTGAAAACTATGTCTCTTGCCCAAAACAGCCAAGTTGTGAATGAAAAGAAAAAGTTCTTGAAATAAATTCAGAGTGCTGCTCCAGCAAACACATGAATGGTAAGAAAGCAAAACAGCCTTATGCTGATATGGAGAAAGTTTTGGTAGCTTAGATAGATTAGTCCAGCCACAATGTTCCCTTAAATCAAAGCCTAATCCAGAGCAATGCTCTATTTCTCTTCAATTCTATGAAGGCTGAGAGAGGTGAGGAAGCTGGAGAAGAAAAGTTTGAAGTCAGCAAACCTTATAATATTTACAAAATAAGACATGTCCCTAAAATAAAAGTACAAAATGAAGTAACAAGTGAGGCTATAGAAGCTGCGGCAAGTTATCCAGAAGATCTAAGATAGTTGATAAAGGTGGCTACATTAAACAACAGATTTTTCAATGTAGATAAAACAGCCTTCTACTGAAAGCAGAAGCCATCTAGGACTTTCATAGCTAGAGCAGAGAGGTCAATGCCTGGCTTCAAAGCATCAAAGGGCAGACCAACTCTCTTGTTAGAGGCACATGCAGCTGTTGACTTCAAGTTTAAGCCAGTGCTTATGTACCATTCTAAAAATCATGGGCACTTTCAGAGTTACGTTGACTCTACTCTGCCTTTGTTCTATAAATGGAACAATAAAGCCTGGTCATCCAGTATATCTCTTTACTACATGGTTTATGGGATATTTTAAACTCACTGTTGAGACCTACTGCTCAGAACAAAAGATTTATTTCAAAATATTACTGCTCATTAATAATGCATCCAGTCACTCCAAAGCTCTGGTAGAGACAGATGTACAATAAGATTAATGTTGTTTTAATGTCTGCTAACAAAAACTATTCTTTGGCCCATGGCTCAAGAAATAATTTTGACTTTCAAGTTTTATAATTTTTAAAATAAATTTTGTAAAGCTATAGCTGCCATAGTTACTGATTCCTCTGATGAATCTGGGCAAAGAAAATTGACCACCTCCCAGAAAGAATTCAACATTCTAGATGTCACTAAGAACATTTGTGATTTATGGAAGGAAGTCAAAATATCAACATTAACAGGACTTTAGAAGTGGATTCCAAAATGTGTGAATAACTTTGAGACATTAAAGACTTCAGTGGAGGCAGTCACTGCAAATGAGGTGGAAATAGTGAGAGAATTCAAATTATAAGTGGAGCATCATGATGTCATTGAATTGCCACAATCTCATGATAAAACTTGAACAGATGAAGAGTTGCTTCTTATGGATATACAAACGAAGTGGTTTCTTGAGACAGAATCCACTTCTGGTGAAGATGCTATATACATTGTTGAAATGACAAGCAAGTATTTTAAATATTAAATAAACTTGGCTGATAAAACAGTGGCTGGGCTCAAGAGGACTGACTCCAATTTTGAAAGAAATTTCTACTGTGGGTAAAATTCTATCAAACAGCATGGTATACTACACAAAATCTTTCCTAAAAGGAAGAACCAATCCATGCAACAAACTTTGTTTTCTTTTCTTTTTTTTTTTTTTTTTTTTTTGAAGAACATGCCACAGCCTCTCCAACATTCAGCTATCACCACCCTGATCAGTTAGCAGCCATCAACATTCAGGCAAGACCTTCCATTAGCAAAAAGAATACCTCTCACCAAAGACTTAGGTCGTGTTAATATTTTTTAGCAATAAAATATTTTTAATTAAGGTAAGTACGTCGGTTGTTTTAGACATAATGGTATTACTCATTTAACAGTCTACAGTAGAGCATAAAAATATCTTTTATATATACTGAGAAACAAACAAAAAGAATGTGTGACTTGTTTTATTGCAGTGGTCTGCAACTGGACCTGCAGTATATTTGAAGTGTGCCTGTATATTTATGTCTGTATATAGATATATAGATGATTGATAGATTAGATAGATAGATAGATAGATAGATAGATAGAGATATTGATAGATACGTTCTGTTTCTCTGGAGAACCGAGAGTCCTGACTATCACAGGAGATGTAAAAAACATGAGGTTGGCTGTGGTGGCTCACGCCTGTAATTCTAGCACTTTGGGATGCCGAGGCAGGTGGATAATTTTGAGGTCAGGAGTTTGAGACCAACCTGGCCCACATGGTGAAATCCCACCTTTATTAAAAATACAAAAATTAGTTGGCAGTGGTGGCACACACCTGTAATCCCAGCTACTCAGGAGGATGAGGCAGGAGAATCGCTTGAGCCTTGGAGGTGGAGTTTGCAGTGAGCCGAGGTCATGAAACTGCACACTCCAACTGGGGTGACAGAGTAAGAATCTGTCAAAAACAAAAACAAAAACAAAAACAAAAACAAAACAAAACATGAAGTCTCTTCCAAACACCATATATACAACATGGTCAGGTATGAAGGAGCTATCCACGGCTCCCAAGACCAAGGTATAACCAGTTCTTAAGTTTGTGAGGAGGTAAATAGACATTAATGATATTCTTCATGGACTTATGAGGAAATTTTTTTTTTTGGAGCTTTACATTTGGACTACTGTGATTCTTTATCCCACTTAATTAGATCCAGGCATCCACCAGGAGAGATTTCAATATTCTTCATCTGTTCATAGGCCTCCCTCATGTCTTCCCTAAGCCTCACTCCTGCATTGATAGACAGTTTTTACGTAGATTACAGATATTTTTTTTCTAGAAATTCTCTTAGTACAAACTTAAATGGTAGCACTTTTTGTCTCACCATCTTAGGCGATTTACAGAATGGAATTTGTGTTATTGATAATTTAAATAACTCTGCTTTACATTTGGTAAACATACTAATAGCATTAGCTTATAAATAGCATTTTACAGCCTTCTGAATGAGCAGTAAATTCTTTTAAAATATTGTGGGGAGAAAAGCATGTAACATTGAGAGTTATCCTCAGAATCCTAAGATCTAAAATTACACAGCAGAAAGAAGTATGAGATATTAGGATTATCTTACTATTTTTGCAAGTTTTTAATTATAATGATTATAATTCATATACATCATTATATATACTATTTAGTTCTAGTGTCACTAATGAAATATATTTTATCACCTACCTCTAAAGATACTATGAACATTACCCTATTTTTTTCCAAAAAATAAGTTGAATATTTTCCGAGATATTGATTTTGATAACAGTGATTCAAATTTGGAAAAAGTAATTATGGTTACATAATTTTAAAATACTTTTATCAGTATCTCCTAACTTTCCAATAAATAACTTCAATAATAACATATTTGAATTTTAGGCAACATATTATATAAGATAATGGTATTGAAATGTGGAGATAATTATTGGGCTTTACAACTGAAGCCACATCAAGTATAATGTTAGCATGAGAAAAACAGAGAGAGAAAGAGAATTGTTGGGATCTATAATATATGCTACATTAATTGGAATAGTAGTATGAGACAGACTGAACATGAGAGAGAGTAAGAGAGAGTAGCTTTAAGTGAAAAAATCATTCCCAATAAAATAAATTATTTGGATAACAGTAAAAGAAGTTGAGGTCAGGTTAATAGAATTAAAATACTTATTGTGAGTTAAATTTTTAAAAATCACAATGTTCCCTACATTCTAATATTAAGGGCATAACAAAATTTATCTCTTTATTGTACTGTGTACATTTCATTTTTATTTTCCAATAGTACAAATTTTAATCAAGTGTTCTATTTTTTACTGTTAAAAGTACTATAAATATGAGCCGGGTTAAATATTACATTTTCAATAGTTTTTTTATTATACACATAGACACATGCATTGTAATAGACTGTTGAGAAAATTAGGATTTATCTTTAGCCTTTGGTTTCATTTTTCTCTAAATCATTGCAATGTAAAGGATATATCAAGTTTTCTTTGAAATAATTGGGTTGTAACCAAGTGTAATTGGGTTGAAACCAAGTGAAAGCACACACCGAATATTAAATTTATATTTAACAAAAATTTTTAAGAGAAAATGTTTATTTTTGCTGTAAATAATTTAATTTTTTACTTTTTTAACTTCTCATTTAGAAAACCAACCAGAGCATCAAAACTATTTTTTTAAAAGATAAAAACTACATTTTCATCTAAATGAGGAGACAGAAAATCTTGCAAATTCCTTATCTGTTCTAAATGTGGCCAAAGGGCTAAGCCAGCTAGCAAGCCCACATGGGAAGAAGACTTGGGAGGAAAATCTTCTTGTGGTTGTATATTTCAAGTACCTCTAGCATCTATCCACTCCCAGAATAAAAAAAGTTCCATCCTGATAATAATCTGTAGTAAGTATAATATTATCACTGTAAATTGAGAAGAAAGAAGGCACAGAAGTGTGTGGGAATACCCAGAGGTGACTGATCTCATAAAGTCCCTGCCAAATACAACTTCTAAAAGTGACTGCTTCACATTTAAAGAAAAGGACTCTGTCTCTTGGAAACAGTGGACTGTACAGTAATGAAAGAAAACACAGTCCATTAGTAGAAGTCCTTATGAAATAGATTAGGTTCTGAGGGTCACAGGAAGAGTGGCCACACACTGGTGGCATGAATTAAGAAAACAGTCCACCACTATAATAACAGAGGTGGGAGACCTTAAAATGTGAAACCTCACAAGCTACTCCCTTTCTCCAGTCCACAAAAACCTCTTGCTATTAGTCAGAAAAATTAATTCATTCCAACACAAATGCCAGAAAAGGAATACTCAAAGATTCATAGAATTAGACTTGAATATTAAAATGATCAACATACCATTTATAATAATAATAAAATATCACCAGAAAAATGTTTTAACAATGATTTTTTAGAAAATGATAACCCAATTCCAATATAAATTTAAAAAAAAGCAATTAGATTTATGAAGTAATACCAAAGTAGATACACAGGAATTCAAGTAATAGTCAAATAATAAGTGCAACATGATGAGTAAAGTACAATGAAATGTAAAATGGGTTCTGAAAAATCTTTATAATTTTTTAAAATTATGAATAAATAAGAAAGACTGAAGAAAATAGACATGACACAAAACATAATGAGAACATAGAGAATAGAAAAATGTGAATACAATGATACAAATATAAAGAAAGAAAAAACAGTATATTAAAGTGAAAAATTATAGATATGAATTATAGGAAAAGGCAAACCTAAAATATGCATAATTGGGGTTGGCAGGGAAAACCTGAAAAAAACAATTCAAAATATAATTGAAGAAAACTTTTCTGAAATTAAGCAAACATGGTTCTTTACCTGTAATTCAAAACCCAGAATGTATAGGATAAGCTATCATCACATTGCCCCAGGAGAAAAGAAATGAGGTAAAGGGAAGATCTGTTATTGCTGGGGATGAGTATAATAATTATAATAATGTATTTATCTCTGCCCCACAAATGTCATGTTTATTTTCAGAATAATATGAATAATGGTATACATTAAAATCTTATCAACTTTTTGCAATCACCTTACATTCATCCTGTTAGTAAAAGAGGGATTACCACCCTAGTTCATGAGGATGTCCAAATGCATGACATAAGACACTGGACAGATGAGGTCAACAGAAGTTTAAAATCAGATGTATTCACAACCTGGGAGAGAAGGAATATCACATGCCAGGCAGGGCCATTTAAATGTTCACTCAGGATCAGAGTGAGCTATCAGAGACTTTTGGAGGCAGGCTTTATAGTACCAATAGGATAGAATATCCCCTCTGCTTATATAGGATTTAAAAAATTCCATGGGCTGGCAGGGAACTTAAATGTGCTACTCACTGATAAACATATCGTCGAATATTATTTAGAAATGAGCTTTAAGGCTTGAAAGACATGGAGAAAATGTAAAGCATATTGCTAAGTTAATGAAGCCAGTTTGAAAATGCTACATACTCTATAATTCCAACTAAAAGACGTTTTAGAAATGAACTAATATCAAAGAAGAACTAAATAAATGGAACGATATGTCATGTCCATAAATAAGTAGACTCATATATGTTAAGACATCAGTGCTTCCCAAGATCTTGATCTGTAGTTTCAATACAATCCTGATTAAACTCCCAGCAAATTATTTTGTGGATGTAGACAGACTGATCCTAAAATTTATGTGAAGAGGTAAAATATCCAGGATAGCCAACTCAATATTGAAGGAAAAGAACAAAGTGAGTAGACTGACACTATATGATTTTGAGACTTATAAGTCTTCTGTAATCAAGGCAGTGTGGTATTAGCAAAATAATAGACTAATAAACCAGTGGAACAGAGTAGAGAGCTTAGAAATATACCCACTTATAGTCAAGTGATCTTTGATAAAAGAGCAAAGGAAATATGATGGAACAAAGATAATATTTCAACAAATGATGCGGGGCAACTGGACATTCACATGCAAAAAAATGAGTATAAATACAGACCTTACACTCTTCAAAAATATTTACTTAAAATGGCTCATAGAACTAAATGTAACATACAAAAATCTACAACTCCTAGAAGACACCATAGGAAAAAAACCCTTATTATCTTGGGTATGACAATGACTTTTACAGAGAACTTCAAGGGCACTATTCACTAAAAAGAAATAAGATGGATTTCATTAAAATTAAAAACTTCTCCTCTTCAAAAGGCACTGTCAAGAGAATGAGAAGACAAACGCCATAGACTTGGGGAAAATATTTGCAAAAGACAACTGCAAAATGTTTTAAAAATACTCTTTTATATAGCTTTTACATATTATTGCTTTATTTGTCCTGTATCTGTTGACTTGAAACATTTAAAGAAAATTAGTCATTTTTTTTAAAAAATTGCAATTCACAAAAATATATATTAAGAAATGGAAAGAGATACCATGTGCTTGGAGAGATTCAGCATGATAAACATATTTATACTCCCTAGATATTATATGCATTTAAATATCCTTTTGAATCTCTTATATTTATTGATTTAAAATATTAATTTTAGATTAAATAGATGCCCAGTGTAATAATTTTAAATAAATTTGAGAAGTGAAAAATAAAAAGAGAAAGTATTTATTCCTTGCTCCTACCCAACTGTGCCCTATATGGCTAATTTAATACTTTGGTGTATATAGTTATTGACATTTCCCTCTTTTTTGTTTTTAGTGTTTTCTGTGTTCCATGGAGACTAAAATACACTCATTTTTATTTTACATGGAAATTACATCATTATATGAACTTGTTTGTCAAAGCAGTTCTAAGTTATTTTCTGCATCTTTATCCTCAGCAATATAGGAGGGTTTATGACATAAATTCATTTTAAAGCCAGGAATTGCTTGTAGGCCGGTTAAATACAGGAAAGTGCTTCTCCTCTTTATTAAGTGATCCAGTGATTAAGTTATAAAAAATAACTTTTAATCCAAAGATACCACTGGATTTGTTTACTTTATTTTTAAAACCTGATTGATTATACAGAATAGTAGTACAAGTTTTCTGGAGAACGTGGTTAAGAACACAGGCTCTGGAATCAATTCCCATTTATTCCAAACCTGATTCTGTCATTTAGTAAATGTATGACCCTGTACATGGTAAATGACCTTCCAATGCTTCAGTTCCTCCAACTAGAAGATAGGAATAACTAGAGTTTCTACATCTAGGGTTGTTGAAAATAGTGACAGTATTTGGTTAGTATTTAAAACACTGAAATACTGCTAGCTAGTTTTAGAGAAACGCCCCTTTTTAAAAAAGTTTACATTTTTTCAGGTGTATAGCATACTGATGCATATATCTGTATTTATGCAAACACACATATATATGTAGTCAGTGTAGATAGTGAATACTTTGGTGGAAGTCAAATTGACAGAAATCAAACTATAGATAATAAAATACTAAATTAACCTAAGTGGAAATATAAATGGAATGTAGAAAAATTCAGATTTTCCAGAAATAAATTACCATATTTCAAATAGTGCCGATTTATATACCTTGAGATTTGAAAATTATATTTTTTGTTAATTTTTAAAGAAATATATTTAAGAGGACTAAGGCCAGACATTAGTCTGAAAAATGTTGGCAGTGAATAGAGGGTGGATAGCCTACACAATGGGTATGTTTGCCAACACTCTGATATGCTCTATACATAACTTCAATTAATATTTTTTTCTTTTATATGAGCTGGTCCTTTTAAAAACCTATAATTATGTTTTAGATAAGTTGTAGAATGGTTAAGTTTGCAGTTCCTTATTACAATTTTGTGCTTGAATAAACTTCCCTGTATGTATTCATCTAAACAATTGAATACTGAGAGAGTTTTTGGAAAACTCTTGGAGAGAGTTCTTGGAAAGATGATTTATGTCACTACTAATTCGTGCAACAATACAAAAGCAACTTTGAAACTATATACAAGATGCCATAAAAGATATTTCTAGAAACATGAAAATGGACTTGTGTTCATTTTGAATCTTTAGAATGAATATTTCATGTCAACAATCAGATTGTTTGTTCTATGAGGCAGCTCTTGCTACTAGAAATTTTTAATTAGAGCCCAAATACCTAATTTTTGAAGATTCCTCAAGCTTTTATCTTTAAAAAAATTAAATCAAGATTTTTCAACAAATAAGAGAGTAGATTTCTTTCTAAACTGTATATGTACTCACTGGGAAATGTTTATTAAATTATGGCTTTATGCATAAATTCTCCAATAATAGGTATTATTTACATTTAAAAGTATGTTTAAAATAGAAACATAATTCCACTGTAAGAAAAATTCCAACTTCTCAGCCAACATTGGAAAAATAGGACATTACATTTTCTAATTTTTGAGAAAGCCCCATTTTTCAACTTAAACCTTGTTGTGATTATGCTTGCTATTGCTCAACCTAACCATATGCCCTGTTTTAATTTAATGTAAGTATCTTCCAAATGATTATAGCAAATATTAATAATGGTGGACACATTTAAATAGCAGGTGAAAGAATCAGAGAAGTTGAAGTTTATTCAATGTAAATTATAAACCCTAGACAACCAAGATAAAATGACATTTGAAGACAAAAGAGCAAAGCATCAGACCTGTGGGAAGACATAAAGTGCACTAACATAGTCCGAGAAGAGAAGAGAGGAAGAAAGGAAAGAAATAATATCTTAGAAAACATAATGACTGAAATAAATTTGATTGAAAAAATCTACAAATTTAAAAAGCTTACTAAATCTCAAATAAGATGAACATGAAAAAGATCCACTTCTAAACAAATAATTGTCAAATTACCAAAATACAAACCCAAAGACATCTCTTAATAGCAACACAACAAAATGACATCATATTCAAGGGAACAACTATACAATCTACAGCTGACTCTATACAATTTATAGTGGATGTCTCATCTTAAACAAATGAAGCCAGAAGCCAATCAAATTGTACATTGTATATGGTGAAAGAAAATAACTATTATCAAAGAGTTCCATCTTAGCCAAAAAACGTTTTAGAAACACAAGCAAAGTAAATACATATAGAGAATTTAAAAATACAATAACCTCGAGAGAATTTGTTTCTAGAAGGAATTTTTTAGCCAAAAAATTCCTTCAGGCTAAAAGAAAGTGTCACTAGACTGTAACTCAAATCCGTAGAAAAAAATAAACAGCAAAGGCAATGGTAAGATATTGGAAAACATTTGAAAACCCCCTAAATACTTTCTCTTTCAGAAGCTTGCTATATTTTATCAAAAAAATATTAACCTGAAGTAGTTTATGATAGTCACTTGTAATTTCTTGATAAACTAAGAAAATAACTCAGAAGTACACATAAAATACATCAACAGAAGACTTTAAATGACACACCAGAAATATTTATTTACCAAAAGATAAGACAGTAAAGGTTCAACAGAGGGAACAAAATAAATATAATCCATATAGAAAACAAAAAAATGCCAGACATAAATAGAGTACAAAGATGGTTTTATTGAATAAGAATAGACTAAAATTCCCATAAAACTTCAGATATTGTCAGATAAGATAAAATATGAGATCCAAATATATTTCTAAATATGTTATTTTTTAAAACGGAAAAATGTATTATGAAAAATATGGTAAATAAGCAGGAACGTTTATATTAAATAATCATACAAAATAGATATCAAGACAATAAATATTACCATAGAATAAAGGAGTATTTTATAATAATAAAAGGGTTAATACCCGTAGAAGGTATGACAACTATAACCATATATTCACCTAAAAATAAAATTTCACATTACATAAATTGAAAACTGACATATTTGAAAAAATAGATAACTTAGTGATTATGATTTGTGATGACAATAACTCACTCTTGAGACTTGACAGAATAACTAGACAAAAATATCCATAAACATATTCAAGACTGAAGTAAAACTATCAACTCACTTGAATCAACTGATACAAAAATATATAATTGGTATATATATATATATGAATATGTATTTACATATATTTATATATATTTACATATATTTATATGTATAAATACATATGTGTGTGTGTATATATATATATAGAGAGAGAGAGAGAGAGAACACTTAGTCTAACAACAGAAATAAATATTGTTTAGGCCTGTCACCGTGGTTTATGCCTGTAATCCCAGCACTTTGGGAGGTCAAGGTGGGCAGAACACAAGGTCAGGAGTTCGAGACCAGCCTGACCAATATGGTGAAACCCCATCTCTACTAAAAATACAAAAATTAGCCAGGCATGGTGGCAGATGCCTGTAGTCCCAGCTACTTGGGAAGCTGAGGCAAGAGAATTGCTTGAACCTGGGAGGCCGAGGTTGCAGTGAGCCGAGATTGAGCCACTGCACTCCAGCCTGGGACACAGAGTGAGACTCTGTCTCAAAAAAAAAAAAAAAAAGAAAAGAAAAGAAAGAAATATTCTTTTATTCTTTGCAAACACACATTGGACATTCTTTACTACAGAACATAAAAGAGGCCCTATAACAAGTCTCGACAAATTTATAAATACTGAAATATTCAAAGTTTGTTTTCTGAACCAATAAAGTTAACTTAAAATTATCAGCACAAAGATATTAAGAGAAATTTCCAGATATTTAGAAATTAAACTGTACAATACGTAATAGTCAAAAACAATTTACAAGGGAAGTTAGAAAATGTTTTAAACTAGATGAAAACTAGCACACAACTATCAAAATTTATGTGATGCAACTAAAACAATGTTTAAAGTGAAATTATTAGTTTCAAATGCCTATATTATAAAAAATACATGAAATAACAAGCGAGGTTTCATCCTAAAAACTAGAAAAGAAGAACAAATTAAGCAAAAATGAAGCTGAAAAAATAAATAATAAATGTCGGAGGGGAAATAAATATAAGTAAAAGAGAGAAGCAACTGGAAAACTCAATGAAACCAAAATTCATTCATAGAAAGAATCAAATAATTGATCAACTTTTAGCTAGGTTGACAAAAAGAGAAGCAAGAGAAGAAAAGAAGCAAATAAGAGAGGAAAGGCAAATAGAGTAATTAAGAATTAAAGAGATGCTATAATAAAGGAATATTGTAAATAAATGTATCCTATGTAATTAGACAACTTACACTGAGTCAGCATACTAATAATAAAACACTTCTTGCCAAAATTCTTTCTAGAAAATATGAAAAATCTGAATATACTTACAATAAGTAAATAAATTGGTTTAGTAATTAAAAACTTCCCCAGGCCCGGATGCCTTTACTGGCTGAATTCTATCAAGTATTTAAAGAGCAAAAATAGTGATTATACAGAATACTTTTACAGAAAATATAAGGAGAAAATATTTACCAGTTCATCTTTGAGGCTATTATTAATATTTTACTAAAGACAGACAGAGTCACAACACAAGAAAACTAGACAAATATATTTTATAAGGATAAAATTGAAAGTCCTTAACTAAATTCAGAAAAAAAAATCCAGAAACAAAAAAAATTACACACTGTCTTTCTGAACTTTCTATTCTATTTCATTGGCTCATGTGTGTCCTCATATATCACTCCCACAGTGTCTTAATTACCGCACAGTTATAGTAAATTTTGAAATTGACGATCATTAAGTCCTCCAACTTCTTTTTCTTATTTTTAAACTTTCTAGGTGTATTAGTCCATTTTCATGCTGCTGATAAAGACATACCTGAGACTGGGGAAAAAAGGAGGTTTAATTTGACTTGCAGTTCCACATGGCTGGGGAGGTCTCATAATTATGGCGGAGGATGAAAGGCACTTCTTAAATGGTGACAGCAAGAGAGAATGAGGAAGAAGCAAAAGTGGAAATCACTGATAAACTCATCAGATCTCATGAGACTTACTCTATCACGAGAATATCTTGGGAAAGACTGGCCCCCATGAATCAATTACCTCCCACTGAGTCCCTCCCACTACATGTGGGAATTCTGGGAGATACAATTCAAGTTGAGATTTGGGTGGGAACACAGCCAAACCATATCACTATGGGTATTTTAATTCCTTTACATGTCTGAGTAAATTTCAGCATCAGTTTGTAAATTACTATGATTCTTTACATTCTTTGGTTATTTATAGGTACTGTTTTGAATGTATTTTTCTATTTGGGTTAAATTGCCATTTTAATAAAATTGAGTCATTAAAGTCAGGAAATTGCCATGACTATCCATTTATTTAGATGACCTTCAGTTTATTTGTGTAATGCCTTCTGATTTTCATTGTGCAGGTCTTACACTTCTTTGTTAATTTCATTTTAAACTTTTTTCTTTTTGATGCAACTTTAAAAGTGTTTCATAATTAATTTTTGTATAGCTCATTGCTAGTATATAGACTAAAAATTCATCTGTATGTATTGATTTTATATCTTGCCTATTTTCTGAACTCAAATTATTACTTTCAGTATTTTTTGTAGATTTCTTAGGATTTGCTACATATAGGACTATGGTGTCTGCAAATAAAAGAATATTACTTCATCTTTTTAATCTGATTACTTTTATTTATATTTACTTACCTTACTGCACTGGATATAACTTTCAGTTCTACTTTGAGCAGAAGTGCTTAGAGCTATTATTCTTGTCTTATTCCCAATCTTAGAGGATAGCTTTTAGTCTTTTACCATAAAGTATAATTTTAATTGTAAGTTTTTATAGATGTCTTTTGGGAAAATTCCTAGCACAAGATAATCTCTTTGGCAAAGCAGATCCCAAAATAAAGATGTCCATGTCCAACAATCTCAAGGAAAATGTAGTTATCAGTAACTTTGTAATTTTTGCTTTCATGAAGAGATAGTATCTACCCAAAATATCAGAGAGAGAAAAACAGTACCTGTTCTTTAATGCTATCTCCTAAAACCATTTCTCACAATGTTCCAGATTTAAGTGGATATAGAAATTGAACTGTTTTTGCTTAGATTGTTTTCTCTCCCAATGGACATTGGGCTAAATAGATTGCAGATTTAGGAAGAGGTTTTTTTCCCCCCTTTTTTCTTAGAAAACAGAATTTCTTTTGTGCAATAAACTGGTGATCACTGCTCATCTCCCATACGACAAATAAATGCATTTTTCTTGTATAGAAGCTATCTTATTTCATATAGGTCAGTGATGAGGTCATATAAACAGTGATGAAATCATCAAACTGAGGAATAAAATCCTCTTGAACTTGTAATTATTTGTATTTTATGAGCAGAACAAGAGAATCAAACAAACAAAAAAACCCCAGAAAGTTGTGGATTTAAATGCCAACATTTAGGTCAACTCAATTAATTTGTGCTTTCAGCTAAGATATTGTATTGCTAATAGAATTTTAAAAACTTAAATTTTATAACAAAATTTCCATGCAAACTTTTTACTACTCATAACAAATTTCTCATAATAATTTTATAAGTTATGAATCATTTTTATGAACATAACATATTTTAAGTTAAAAACTATGCAGAAAAAGTTTTAGTGTATGGTCCTATTTGGTCAATATACTTGGTAAACATAAAATCTCATTGAAGTCAATGATAATTTTATTCTCAGAATTGAGTAGGACACAAGATGAATGAAAGGCTTCTCTTAGGACTGTATGCATACAACACACGAATGCATTTAGCATTTATTAAATTAGCCCAAGGAATAGTGTTGCTGTCATTTGTTTTGATCAAGTAAATATTTTCATATACTTTATATTTTTGTCCACAGCATATTAACCATATTTTCTTAAGAAATTTAATAACATACGGCATTCAGAGCTAATTTAGAGCAAATGCCATGAGGAGAAAACAGCAAGATCCTATCAAGTGCCTAGTTAGCTGTTACTCTGTTGACTTATAATATGTTACATTTAGAAGTGAAACAGTTTGTTGAACATTTTACATAACCATTAGAAAAACTATTCGTGTGTATTATTTAAGAGATGACTTTTTGGTTGTTTACTTTAGGAAAGCCTCAAAATAGGACTTGACTTGTATGCTTTAATCTATTTGCCTTATTTTAGGTTGCAAAGAGAGATTTATCTTGCCGTCTAGTTAGAAGCACTGATGATTATACATTGGATGCATCTCCTCTTGCCATCTTGCCATCTCAAAGACGTTTTCCTGATGTTTTTCCCTGTTTTAATTTGCTCACCAAATATTAAAATTAAAAAACTCTTTACATGCATGATACTACCATCCTATTCACATCATCCATTTTATAAGACATGTCTTAAGAAAGTTTTCAATATCTGATTTCCCTTATATATTATTCCCTTTTTTACTCTTTCAATAAGAATATAGCTCACAATATACTGTCAAAAACATTCTTATACACTTTTCCAACGATTTCTATCCAAATTCAATGGTCAATTAAAACACGTCATTGAGTCATGACTTGACTTCTATCAGATTTTGATATTCTTGAACATACTGTACATAGTACCATTTATTCATTTGATTTCTAGAATAAACTATGATCATTATTTTTCTCTGATCTCCCTGACCACTTAAGCTCCTCTTGGGAGATTCTTTTTCTTTGCAGATCTCTTGATGTTGGTGTAACCCAGAGATTAAACCTTGACTCTCTTTTGGTTTGTGCTCTCTCACTAGTTGATAACATTTGATCCTGGGCTACAAATACCATTTATAATGTACAGATAACATCCAAATTCATATCTCAGCTCTCATCTTGCCCTCATCCCAAACTTAATATATTGAATCACTTTACTTGAATTCTTCATCTAGAGAATACCTCAAAAGATCTTAATTCCTTCTCCCACCTTAAATATGGTCTTCTCTCAGTCCTGTCCACTTATGTCTCCTTTGCACATATTTGATAAAGACACAGTCCTAGAATCACTCAATTTTCTTCTTTTCCTCTTATCCCTAACATGTAATTCCACAAGTTCGTTTTCCATCTACCTTGAAAGTATGTTTCTAAACCACATATTTATTTACTTCTCAACACCTCCTCTCTTACCTTTTAGTTCTAAGATTTTCACATTACTACCTAGAGAAATGTAAGGCCTTCACTAATTGTCTCTATTTCCCCTCTTATTCTTCTACAGTTTGTTCTTAACTGAGTAATTGAAGATACAGAAAAAAAAAATTCTTCAGCTCTTCTTGATCTAGTACCATATGTTCTTGGTTACTGAGTAAGAATCCGTTCTGTGCTCCAGTTTTCAGATATCTGCAGTACATAGATTGGCCAGGAATTGAATTCTGGTTATATTTACCTCTTTTGAAATAGTAATTTTAAAAGCCCAAATTTATCTTGTTTTATAAAAAAAGATCGTTCTGATTTACTTATACCATCTAATTTCCATACTCTTAAACATTTCTTCAAAGATATTCCTTGTCAATCTTACATTTGTTTTACTGGTACTTTACTTTCACCTCTACATTATAGCAAATTAAAAAAAGTAAGAAATAACTAATTTTATAAATATTAATCTTCACATATAATTTTTAATATAGAACCATATGGCTGCAGTTTTTAAGCTATTTTAAAAAAGATTTTGCACAGGATATTAGAGTGATTTAAACTGATCTGCTTTGTAATCATACTCACTACTTGCAATTAATTTTTTGAAGAAACTAATAGGGCAAAGAAACAATCCATAGATGTCAAGACTTATGGAGATGGGAGACATAGGATAGAATCACTATACATAATTAAAACTTTCTTAAAAAGCACAAATAAGGTCAAGTAACTTGTTCTAGGTCACGTATTCGGTAGTAGATAGATCCTTATTTGCTTGAATCTACCAATTGTATTCTGAGATTGTAACATTAATTGAATAGCTATGTTGGTTCACTGTCATATATCCACTTTTATAGATGAGTAAATTGAGGCTCACAGAGGTCAGCAGCCCAGGATCACAAGAAAACAAGTAGCAGAGTGAAAAATAATCATCTTAGAGGTCTGTAAATATTAACACAGTGTCTTCTATATGATATAGAGTCCAACAAAACAGATGTGGTCTTCTTGTTCCTTTTAAAGTTTAGTGAAAATTAATATTATATTTAATTATATTATTTCAATGAAACTCAATCTCATAAATTATTTTAAGTGGATCAAAGGAGATGAATAAATGCAGGAAATAATTCTCCTTAATCAAGTGTTTTCACTGCCTTTCATTTCTACAGATGGCTCTCCAAGGTGGTTGTTAGGATTGAATTACTGTCATACAGTACAGGCTGAAATATGAATGACAAACTTAATCAGGGAAGGACTGCTTCGACTAGTGATTTTTTCATATTTATCATCAAATGCTTAAACAGTCTTGGGTGTGTTCCTGGTGACAGACTTAATATCTTAGCATCTAAGAATGTCAGAGTTGAAAGTCAATTGCATGATTCACAACTCTTTCACTTGTAAGTGATAAAAACCCAAGTCAACATGGCCTAAGAAAGAATGACTAAAAAAAAAACCACACAAATTATTTGAGGAGAACGGGGGTAACTCTGAGAATTCAGAATGGCACTTCAGGAAATGACCCAGCTCTAGGCCTCTCAGGGACTGGACACTCAGGAAACTCTCTGTATCTCTTCTCCATTTTCATTCTTGATGTCACAGTGGTTTTTTGTTTGTTTTTTCTCATGTTTTATCTTGTGTGCTTCAGCATGGTTTCAGGTAGTTCTTGAGTTATTATCTTAAAAGCCTTTTACCAAAGAGGAAGAAGAATACATTTCCCAGGAACTCAAGAAGGATAATTCCAAAGATGATTTCCAGTTACTAAGGCTGAAGACACAAGCCCAGGAATTCAAGACTGCAGTGAGCTATGATTACACAACTGCACTCCAAGCTGGATGAGAGAGTGTGGCTCTGTCTCAAAAAAAAAAAAGAGACTCAAGGCACAGGTGCTTCTCTGACCATGGTCTCCCAGCATCAGCCACATAATCAACCCTCAATGGTCAGGAAAATAAGGTCTATTAATAGAAACTGGAGGGTAGAGATGCTGGCAGAAAAGGTCCATAGCCACAAGTTACTTCTTGGTTGCCCAACATACATGATTACACACACACATAAGCATACATATTTCCTTTAATTTTCAGAATGCCCCCAACTTTAATGCAACTATCCACATACAATTGTAAATAATTCCAAAAAAGACTGTCCACAATAATATTTAAAACTGTGTTGAACATCATATCAATATCTCATCAATGTGAGTTCCTTTTATTAATTGTAGAAGTGGCCTCTCTTCATTCTGCAACTTATTGCAAAAATATACATATACATATAAACCCCAGAAACTGTAAGCACAGATAAAAGATGAAGGAATTTTATTTTACAGCCTATAGGTCAAAGCAAATGCGTAGCTTTCTAAACAAGATTTTTATAGGTTTCTTCTGTTTGCTTAATGAGTGAGTCTCTTAATATTTCCTTTGTATACTCAGTGGACATATCAGCATGGGGTACTGGGGAGCATTCCCCAAATGGGTATTACATGACTTTAGTGGGCCAAATTACTTTGGTCATGTTTATGATAACCTGAAATTTGCTCTAGTAAAGAACAATCACAAAACTCCCTTTTATTGTTTCAGAGTTTCAGGGGCAACGCAATACCATGAAAACAGTTGTTTATTGATTTATTTGTATCTTAGCCCTGCCTTGGGGATTTCTATTTTAGAAGGCAGTTGAGGTTTCTGCAACCTCAGTTACAGGGTACCGCATGGACTTTGCCATGATGTTTAATTTAAAAAGCTCCTTGCTATTCGCCAGGTTACATTTTCATAAATAATGCTTTTCAGGAAAGACTATTAACAATGTTGTTTTGGGACAATGAGGGAGACATGATTGTCTAGAATATTAATTTGAAGGGCCAGGAAAATTCACCCTTGCCCCATTTCTCCATCTCCTCCTGAGTGCTCATCTTATCTCCTACTGAGTTTTCCACATTCCTGTCATTTTTCACACAACTTCAGTATGAGGCGCATGATTTAGCTTCATGATCTTAAAGATGCACAATTCCCTCAACCTTGCATTCATAAATAACTGGTTACAGCAGAAAGGGCATTTTTAACAAAACCAATTACATGGATGGTTCTCTTTGCTATTTCTTTCTGTTTCCAGATAGGCCAGCTTGGAAAGCAGCTCTTTCGTTGAAACGTCTTACCACAGGTTGCAAGAAGCAGCCATGCATCCAGTATTCTGAGCTTTTATATCAGGTCCCTCACAACAAAGCTCTCCATCAGGGACATGTGTTTGGCGTATTTATTCCCTCAATCCTGAGTTGACATGGCAGAAACAAAGACTATGGGAACCTCTAGGCAAGCCTCTGGACTTCTTTAGGATCAAATGTTTATTTAGTGAGATAAGAAAATATAATTGTCTACACGTGTGATTTTTTTTTTCCAAAAATAAGTACTTCCCTAAAGCTTAAAATTCCCTGCAGCAATCATTTAACTAGTTTCATTGCCATTACATCACAAGAGTGGTTGTTCTCACTGCCCAGAGTGAAGAAATCCTCATTATCTACCTTTCTCTCCCAGTTCGGTCAGTTTCATACTTAAAGGTCACTTATGACATCATTCAAATTTAAACACCAGTTTTTATATTAACTCAAGTTGCAAGTGACACTGACTTTAGATAACAGGAATGGGATTATTGCAAATATGTGGGATAAGTCTTTTATTGGAAGGAAGAGCTGCAGAAATTAGAGACATTTGAGTACAAAATCTGAATTCTAAGACCTGGTACTAGGTCATCAGGTAATCAGAAGTCTGGCTCATTTGAAGAATACAAATGACATAATATTAAAAAGGTGAATTAGTAAAAAATAAAGTTAAAAGGTAGCTGAAGTCCAGATTATAGTATAACCCTTTGAGGGTTATAATGAGTAAAATATAAAGATGCTTATGTGAGAAAGCTGTTGTTTCACCAAACTTACAGTTCCAACAAATTTACAGTCAGTTGTTTATGATCTGTCTCTAGGAGTGTGTCACACATTGTATGGCATCTTGTTAGGGATGACAGGAACAGTGACAACAACAAAATTAAGGGCTTTTCATTTCAGCACTGCGACGCAATTGAAAAGAAAGCTGTTGTGATAAAGTTATAACCAGGTAATGGCAAGGGAGAATAATAAATGCTGGGCTGTGGCCAGACACAGTAGTTCACTCTGTTAATCTTAGTGCTTTGGGAGGCTAAGGCTGCATGATTTCTTGAAGACAGGAGTTCAAGACCAACCTGGGCAATACAACAAGACCCCATCTTTGTAATTTTTTTTTAATTAGCCAGGAGTTATGATCATACAACTGCACAGAGTGAAACTCTCTCTCTAAAAAACAAAAATATAAATAAATGCCAATTTTTTTGCTGTTTCATTAACAGACATTTTATTAATAAATTATTTAACTGTAATTTGAAAAGTAAACATGTAAAATTTAAAATTATGATGAGTTATTACCTTTAATATGTTTTTCTATTTAACTTCTTAGATATTTTATGACTAAAATTTGTATTTATTATCCCCAAACAACTTTGTGGAACTGACCAGTGCCTCAGGCAGGACACTTGGCTGTAGGCTAATATAGAGGCCCAGATAATGCTTTTGATTCCTATGGTGTACATACCTACATAATAGAATTTCCCAACGATTATATGTATATGACCTATAAAGGTTTTTCTGTTTAAACTCTGCACATACCAAACAGTCAGATAGTTTTGTCTTCATAGCTACATACAAGCTAGAAGTTTCTTATATGTGTTGGATTAAAGCCACAGGTAATTCAAGCACTGGGACAAGTAACTCTGGAATAAATGCTTTGTTGCACTTGTAAGTGACAAAGAGTACAAAGGCTTCTGAACAGACAGAAAAATGTTTGTGACACAGAGAAATAATAAATGTTTAGGGCGGTGGATACCCCATTTACCCCAGGGTGATTAGTACACATTGTATGCCTGTATCAAAATATCTCATACACCCAATAAACATATGTACCCACTATGTACTCATAAAAAATAAAATAAAAAAGAAGTATTCTCTTTTGAATAAATAGTTTTGCCCACACATTTAAACAAACTCTTATCAGGGAAACCAGCTGAAGTAGCTGTAATAAGCTTATCTCAATGTGACAAGAGTGTTGATAAACACTTCAAATTCCGATATAAATCAATCAATCCCTGCTTGACCAAACTATGTCTTTTTAATAGGAAAGTAAATACAACTCCCTCCAATAACCATCACTTCCAAAAAATATAAGAGTGTAAGTCTTTTAATTTTAGAAATAGAAAAATTGACCTTTTTAAAGTCTTTACATTGTTTTGGAAATGAGATCAATAGCTGTAATACAAATGGATAAAAACTGAACCTTTAAGATTTATGAAAATTAAGAATGTGTATTCAATGCATTTTTTAAATTGGGGTAATAAATTAATGCAAAGAGGCTTTCAAAATTGGTGGGAAAAACCATTAAGACTTAGTTTACAAGATCTAGATTGGGAAGTTTTACATGTCCCATTTATATTATACAAACCTGCTGGGATATTGAAGATATGGATACAATAAAGTAAGACAGTTCCATATTTGATTTACGGAATGAGTACTAGTTTGTGGACAGCACTAATCATATGTATGCATTCTTTCCTAAAGCATTTGAAAGCATTATTTACTTTTTACCTAATTTCTAAAACTCCAGTGGCATAATTCAGAATAATAAAATGAAAGTTAAAATGCATAACCAATTAAATTTGGGGCGAAAGCACATTTTTGGCAAGACTGCTTTCAATTATTATTTAGTACTGTTTAGACTTGTCAGTCTGTGCTGAATCAGCTGAGCAGTCAACATGAGCTCTTAGCAATCATTTGTTTTTTACTTGTCTTTTATTTTCCATGTGACTTTTAAATATGAAAGTACAACATTTGGTTAATGGGTGTCTCTTATATAAAGTTACCGTATTGCCCATAATTGTCAACTGCTTAATGGTTTTCTTTTCTTTTATGATTTTTTTTTTAGGAAACATTAACTTTCCTCAATTGGCGAGAGAGCAGCATCCACCTATGAACATGAATGTCATAATGACCCAGATCTTTAGCATAGCAAAGATATATTTAATATATTCATTGCAGCAATGAACAAGATGCCTCTGTACTACAAGCTGATGACAGGCAAGAACAAAAGAGACAGACATAGTACATGGGAATTTGCAGAAGCCTTTAGTTTTCTCATATGCCTGTTTTTTTTTAAAGCCTTATTTACTTGCCAGATTACAAAAAGCCCTAGTTACTTTTCATAGATCAATCCATTTAAAAAAAAAATTTTAGATAACCTTGCAGAATAACCACCCTGGCCCCAAACTAGTGAGACCATACATTGTGGTTTGCCCAAGAGAGTTTGAGTCACTTGCAACACTACATATATTAAGAGGATATCTTCAGTCCATAAGTGCTCTGGTTTAATCAATCATATATACGTCTTCCTACCCACCATTGTGTTTAATCTTTTCAAAATATATCCCTGTAATGATTAGGGTTATTAGTTTGACATTAGAGTTCACCTCATATGAAACACATTCTTTACACCATTAGACCAGCCCTATGTAATCTCTGGAAATTGTACTTAGCCATAAATTGAACATATGATAGTATAATTGTTCAGTTTGATTTATTGTGATAGATCTTGCATCTGTAAGAAATGTTTTCAGCTATATGTAACAAAATGACAGTGGCAGGCTGGGTGAAGTGTCTCATGCCTTTTATCCCAGCACTTTGGGAGGCCGAGTCAGGCTGATTGC
Source organism: Homo sapiens (assembly GCF_000001405.40). Classification (NCBI taxonomy): domain Eukaryota; kingdom Metazoa; phylum Chordata; class Mammalia; order Primates; family Hominidae; genus Homo; species Homo sapiens. The sequence continues at coordinate 146,517 of NW_021159995.1, forward strand.
TTGAGCTCAGGAGTTCGAGACCAGCCTGGGCAACATAGTGAAACTGTATTTCTACAAAAATAGAAAAAATTAGCCGGGGATGGTGTCATGTGCCTGTGGTACCAGGTACTCAGGAGGCTGAGGTGGGAAGATTCCTTGAACCCAGGAGGCAGAGGTTGCAGTGAGCCAAAATAGCCCCACTGCACTCCAGCCTAGGAGACAGAGCAAAGCATGTCTCAAAATAAATAAATAAATAAATAAAATAACAGTAGTGTTAATAAACTACATATTTCATTAATTCTTGCAGGATATATGAGGTGCATAATTTTGATTTGGTAGTAGTTTTATGATATCATCAATAATCCAGATTCTGTCTCTTATTCTATGCCTCTATACATTTCTTTTTCTTTTCCTCGTTTCACACTTGTAACCTCATGTTTGAAAGATGGTTATCATAGTTCTTGGTTTCATTTCCATTTTCAAGGGAGTAAAAAGGGCAAAAAATTGTACCAGCAACTCCTTTCTTCTTTTCTTATGTCAATGAAGGAAACTTGTTCACAAGATTATAGGTTGTCTTCCCCATTTTACCACACTGAATTTGAAATAGGACCACCTATAGCTATACCGGTGACGGTAAATTCAAATTTCTGTCATTTATTTTATCTATTAGAAGGTAGTAAAGCTAAATTGGGGTAGAGATGTCTGTTGACATACAGTGTCTGCAATAGTACTTTACGTATTGCATTGCTTCTGTAAAGAGTTTAGTAGTGTTTTTAGATTGTAAAAGTATTTGTCGTGTAAGTCATCCTGAACCATTCAATCAATCAACTACTGTTGGACATTTATGCTGTCAGAAATTTTACTACAAAACTTCTGACTATCCTTTCTTATTTCTTAGCATAAATTTTGATTAGATTTTTAGGGACAAAGGGTATGACTAAATGTATTAAAAAATACTTGTTGAAAATTTATTCCCTAGAAACAGTCCATTATCAACCATACCCTCATGATCAGTAAAAGTAATATTACTAATACAAATAGAAAAATTATGATAGTTACTATGTCATATTGTATTTAAATATTGTCTATATGATAATTTATTTAAGCCTCAAAAAGGTCTGTTTTCTCAAATAATTTATTGAAAAATGTATAACTTCATGTTACTGTATGTAATATGCTAAATAGCTATTTATATTTAGATTTATTCTAAGCTTTCTATAGCACTTTATTAATGTATCTCTTTATTCTGCAAACATTACTATCCTGTTCTAACACAGTAGTTTTATCTGTTAGTATGTGGAAGTGGAATTCACTTTTCCATATTCTTTCTGTTTACTATTCTGAAGGTAACGTGATTTTGATTGCTAAATTTTTTAGACATTATATATTTTCAATTTCAGAATTTGCATTTATATTTTGTAACAGTTTCTATTTGTTGAGATTTTCTTTTTCTTGATTGTAAGCCTACTTTTGCATCATTAAATACAACTATAATTATTGCTTTAACATTCTTGTCTACTGATTCCAACATCTGGTCATCTTTATCTTTATTTTTTTATCTGAACATATGTCACTTTTCGTCTATTATTGCTCGATAATTTTGGGTTTTATGTCAGTCAGTGCAATGTCATATTGTGGAAAGACTAGATTTCCTCATACTTTGTCAAGGAATATTGACTTGTTTTAACAGTTGGATTCAAACACAATGTTTCTCTTAGGTGGCAGTTAAAAATCTCAGTTCATTTCTTTTGTCCTTATCTGATTACTTTGAGACTTTTGCACGTGTATATGGTTCAAAATAAGCTAGTGATTTGGAGAAAGTTTATCCACATAATGTTGGGTTTCCCTTCTCTGCTTTTCATCTTTTAAGGATTCTACCCTCATTTTCTCAGCATATATGTTTGCCTTGAAATTTGGCTCAGATATCTTGTCCTTAAAGACTGATATGTGAATGAATCATCTAATTAAATTGTAGTTGTTTTGGTGGGAGATTACTTCCTCTGCCCTCTATCTTACTAAGTTAGATGGGATGCTCCCAAAGAGTATCTTTTTTCTTCAAAATTAGAAATGGCTACTGGATATGCATCTACATTTTATTTCCCATTTGGATTCTAATTAGGTAATAGGCTTGCTTCCCTGTGTTTATCTGAGCCAGGAAAAACATTTAAAAAAGATATTAAGAGGGGAAAAAGCACAACAGTGTAACTGTTTATATTTTGATTTGTCAGAGATAAGTTAGTGATCCATGGACAAAGCAGACACAAAGAGAAAGTGAGCATAAACTGTTTTACCACTCTGCGTTTTATCATGAGGGATAGAAGGTGAGAAATTGGACAATGTCAAACCACAGTTAAAATATAATTTTAGAGATACCATAGAATCTACAAAGAATTAACGAGTGAGCCCCAAAAGGAACCAACATTTAAATTTCTAACAGATACAAAATATTGACAGCCAATCAGAAACAGCCAGAAAAACAGGAATGGATTCTTCAGATGATTTTTTAATGGCCAGCATAAAAAGATTTAATAGAGCATGGAAAACCCATTTACTGAAGAAAACTTACAGTTTCAGTTTTAACTGGATACATATGAAATTTGATCTAAACCTGTTTCTCAAACTTTAATGTGGATATAAACTCACTTGAGCATCTTGCTGAGAATGTAGATTCTGATGTATTAGTTTGGGGGTGGGTCCTAAAATTCTGCATTTCTGTTAAGCACATAGGGATGTGATTATTAATAATTGATGGGCCAAACACATTTCCCCTGTCAATAATTTTTTAAAAAGTGAAATATGAAGAGTAAGCAAAAGCTGTTAAATGAAAAAAAAAAAAGACCTCTTTTAAAAAAGGGAGGGAATATAAGTTTGAAAAAATAAATCTTCAAAATTTGACGTGAGGATAGGAAAGAGAAAAGTTGAACCTCAGGAATTAATAAAAACGAAAAGGAGGGTCAATCCTGGAGGTTGACTATCTAAGCAACAGAACTTATAGTAATATGAATTGTAGGAATTACAGACAAAATAATAAAAAAATCTCAAAGTGATTATCAAGAGTATATACAGTGGACCAGCCAATAAAAGAATAATGATCTAAAGAATGTTTTAAAATCTCGAGAAAAAAATTCATAACCAACTAACTAAATAAATAGTTTATATAAAAAGAATATTTAGTCAGGGTTTGAGAGAAGCAAAACCACAAGATAAAGGTATGAGTAAACTACAGTATTTCCTATACAATTGTGGCAAAAGCTGGGAAAGTGAAGATCTGAAGGAGGAGGCTAATTAGAGACTGGAGTCATTTAATCAGTTTACCAAAAGCACCTACCTGTGTGGGAACGTTAGGGCTTTCACTAGAATTTGAGAACCCAAGCGCATCCAGCCCCTGAGGTGTGGGTAAGGAGCAGATGTGGCTGTCAAGAATCCTGGGAAAGTGCTGCCTCTGTGTAGCTACCACCTCTGTAGTCTACAACCAAGTGTCTGGTTGTGAAACTGAGTCTGTTTTGGATACTAGGATGGCAGCTGTTAAGATGAGATACGCATGATGCGGAAGAATGAAGAGGAGGTAGTAACCGCCAGGACCTCTGAATATATTGACCACTATGTCTTACCTTTGAGAGTAAGGACCATCGATTCACTCTAATCTTCTAATATTTTACAGTTCCTCTTTTGTCAACTCTAAAATGTAACCATATAGAAAAGGGAAATTTGGGGGAAATATTTTCCATTTTAACTAAGTTTACAATAACTTATCTTAGTAGAAAGGAATTCTTTAGCACTAATAGTCAAAATACCCTGGTTTTCAAATTGGTCTAACAGCAAGAGTCTTACTAAGACTGTTGGCTTATATCTGTGTAGGAGACAACAGTGTCTTCTTGAGAAAACAATTCTGAGTCAATTTCTCCAGATCTCCTGGTTTTGTCTTGAAGGATCAGAGCTAGGAAAGCCTTGACAGAGTCATATTATTGGATTTCTCCTCCTTCATCTTATCTTATTATCACTCACAGAGTATCTGAAGAAACCCAAGAGCATGTCTTGTCAGTATACTCAATCCAAATGCACTAACCAAACCATTTCTAAAATAAGACAAGACCACAGCATTTTATTGATTTATTGCATGTATTCCACAAAATTTTAGAAATGTTTTGGAGATAGAATTCAACTGATTGTGTTTGGCATAATGACTATTTTCTAAATTTATCAGAAAAGATAAAATATGGCCATATTTTAAGAAAATTGTCCTGGATTCACCTCCAAGGAGTTTTGTCACATATCTGTAATGACTGCAGAGATAATAGAGTGACTAGTATCTGAAAAGAGTGTTAAAATAATGCAAGCAAGTACATTATATAGAAAATCAAGGAAGTCATTTGTAGCCTGACTATAAGCATAGAGTTTCTGAGTGTTTTACTCTGTATTGAAGGGTTAGTTGTGTGGAGATATGTATGGAGACCCCCTGAAACTATTGCTATGGAATAAAAGGTGAAATGCTCCTGATTATTGTAAATACAAAATTGCATGCAGGATTGTGTAAAGACAATGCCAGGTTGGACTGCCAGAATGAGCCAACAGTGCATGATGCACTTCCCCCTGCAGACAGACTATGAATGGACATGCAGTAAGGGAGGTTTCACATCACCAAGATTCCTATCCCAGAAAAGCAGATGTTCATAGCTCTGGGAATGGAATGTGACCCTTGTGGGGAGCCTATAAACGGACGCATGGAGGGCGCCTGTCCATATGGATAAGACAAGACTATAAACGCCCTCATCTTGCCGCGGCTCTTCTAGGCCTCTTTAGGGTTAAGGCATACGCCCTTCTGAGAATTTCTGGTCTAACCGGTTGTCTAGCTTCACATCCTGTTTCCATGGATTGTTTGTAAACAGCTTTTGTTGCAATTGTTACTGCTGATTAATATCTTCCTAATCATAGGTTATGGAAAGACTGTGTTTCTGTTCAAAGGCTCTGTTAGAAATTACTGACGTACACACTATATTGTAAACTCTTATTTTTCTATACTGTACTTCTACATACAAATGTTATGTTAAAAATTACTTCATCCCGATGTGACCATCTCACCTCATAATCAAATGACCCTAAATCCCTCACTAACCTACCCCGCCCTCACTAAACTTAATAATAAATACTGGTATATCCAGTGTATTGTTGGCAGTGTGGGACCAGAAGGCAGTGACCCCCCTGGAACCAGCTTTCACTATCTTGTGTGTGTCTATTATTTCTCAACCTGCCGATCCGCCTGGGAACAAAGAGAGAGCCCCGTTGCATTGCGGGCTGAGGGCCAGATCCCGCAATAGAGATATGGCAACATTTTATATTCTTGTTAAAAATATGACATTGCAAATCCAGTTAACTAAGAAACCCCATATAGGGCCGGGCCGGGCGCAGTGGCGCACACCTGTAATCCCAGCAGTTTGGGGGGCCGCGGTGGGCGGATCACTTGAGGTCAGGAGTTTCAGACCAGTCTGGCCAATATGGTGAAACCTCATCTCTACACACACACACACACACATACAATAGAATTACCCAGGCGTGGTGGCACATGCCTGAAATCCCAGCTACTCGGGAGGGTGAGACAAAATAACAGCTGCACCACAATCCAGCCTGGGCAACAGAGTGAGACTCAATCTAAAAAACAACAACAACGACCAAAAAAAAAAAAACAAAAAATAAACAAACAAAAACTCCATATGGTTATGGCAAAGGTTTATTACTTGTATCTTTGTATTCTTTATCATGCTCATTATGTAACTCACTTAGGACATGAATTAATTCAGTCAGTTTTTTATCACCAAGACCTAATGAACATTTTTTAAATTAATTTTCAAGTTTTTTCATCAAGATAATCTTCTTATGAATAAAATTTTACATTGTTGACTTAAATGCAGTGAAAACACATATCTTTAAATAGCAATTAGTATACTGTAAATATAAAAACATTTATATAGACTTACACAACCTAAAACCAGCCATACTTTTGAAAAGTTGATATAAGGCAGATGATTTAAAATAATAAATTCACGTTAAGTGTATATATATATATATATCTGTTAATAAGATCTGAAGGAGTTAATCTATATTGAAATTTGGCAAATGTTTTATTTTTTTACTTACAAAAATTATTCTTTCCATATAATAAATTAATACATGCATAAATCACAGTACAGTGTAAGTACAGCAGGTACAGAATTAAAAATATTGTTGGATAGATAATGCACAACATTCCATTACTAACTTATATTCATTAATTGCTTAAAAAAATCACATTTATGTGCATACTTTCATTTTGCATATTTGACAGCCTTATGATGCAGTCATTAATATAACCATTTTCCAGTGAGAAAGATATGAGTTACGCACTTTTCTCAAGTTGAAATTAAATTTAATTTTAATTCCTCAGATTCCTTTTCTCCGTCTTTTTAAAATAACAAGTCTCAGGAGTGAAAAAGGATTGTGGGAATTTTGAAGTGAGTGCTCACTTGTGCCCCAGGGAAATTAAGAGAGGCTTCAGAGAGGGTGAAATGGAAATGAACATTGAGTGAAATACAGGAATTTTAGCTAAGAGAAGGCATTGTGAGAAGCAAATTTTATTAGAATCTATGTGCAAAGGAGAATGAGTTGGAAATTTACCTGGACAAAGAAATAATAAATCAGGGTAGAAGGGCGTTATGATGAAAGAAAGAAATAATATAACACAGTGGAAGAAGGCTCTGGGTGCTAACTAGAAAAATTATCTTGTGATACTTTCTGGTTTTTTTTGTGACTTTAAAATATTTAATTTTACAACAACAAGGTGACTTTATTGTTATAAAGCAGAAAATTTTTGCTACCAATTCAAACATGAAAGAAAATGACATTTATACATGCCACGTGTAAAAGCTCAACTCTTTTACACGTGGCATGTATAAATGTATAAGCTCAACTCTTTCTGCAGACACCGTGACAGAACTATTATGAAATTGTCCAAAAGGCTGAGTGACCTCCTGAAGGAAAAAAATAAATTTTATTGCAACAGAAAAAGAATATGTATTAATATTTCAAATAATTTTGAGAAAATATTATATAGAAAGTAGATTAAAATAATACAAAAATGGCATAATTGATGGACTGAATAGAAATGATACATTACTTTTCTAATGTAAATGGCATGGTTTGAGATTTGTCACAGGATGACAAAAATGAGTCTTTTAATACAGTAAATCTAGACTTTTTAAAAGTCTTGTTATAAATGGATAACTTGCTAATTCCTTAGGTTCATCATGATTTATATAAAAGTCCTTGTATGTGGTTTATCCATTATCCATTATATTCTTAGAAAAAGAGCAGGAAGTCATGTCAGCAGTTATGGTTGAGTAAAAATCTCCTAAAATCCTCTCCTCCATTAAATCATTAAGAATACTACTAAACATTGTCAAAGTCAACTTTTAAAACTCTGAAATTTACTAAGATCTTGTAGCAATCTAAGAAACATTTAGTCAAAAAAAGTAACTGGATCTCAGTAAAATATAGTGAGTATTTTTACATTTCAACTTGCTGTATTTCCATTCCAAACACTTCTGCTCCATTGTAGTCTTAAAGCCCAACAATCCACTGGGTACTGTGGCTCATGCCTGTAATCTAAACACCTTGGAAGGTGGAGTCAGGTGGATCACTTGAGCCAGGAGTTCAAGACTAGCCTGGGCAACTTAGGAAGACCCTGTCTCTACAAAAAATAAATAATAATAACAGTAACTAGCCAGGCATGGTGGCGCTACTCTCAGCTACTCAGGAGGCTGATATGGGAGGATCGCTTGAGCCCAGGAGGTAAAGGCTGCAGTGAGCCATGAATGCACCCCTGCCCTCCAGACTGGGTAATAGAGTAAGACTCAATCTCAAAAACAAATAAAACAAAACAAAACAACCCCTTTCCAAAACCAACAATCTAACAGCCATGGTAGTCATGTAAATCAGTAGCCTATCAGCTCACAGCAGAAGTAGAATAGATTTAGATTTGTCCAAAAGCCCCATTCCCAGGAAATTATTATTATGACCTCCACAGCAGTTCCTTGGAAACCCCCATTGTTTTTATGTGACCTAATGCAGAGCTTGCTAACTGCAAACAATTTTTTCCAAGGGTATATTTTGGAAAGGATTAGTGGTAATTGCTAAATTTGCAGCTACCTGAGGCAGTGATACCAGGTAGGAAAAACATGAAAGTGACTAAAAAACTTAAAAGTAAAACCTGAGGATTCACATGTCCACAGGAAGCTTTAAATAGCATCAATATATTTCTGGCAATCTAGAAAGACACAAACACGTACAGGGCGGTGGGCATACCCAGGAAATACATGAGAAGTCACTAATTTCCTGCGTGTGGCTAACCTGGAGACACTTCACAAGCAGGAATTAAAGTTGTAATTGTAAACTCCCTATTGGAGCATTTGAAGACATGATTCAACATGCAAAGGAAGCCCATTGGCAAAGTCTGGGCAGCTCAATAGTTTAAGATATTTACGGAAATTTCTAATCATCAGTGACAACTACACTAATAAGCAGAGAGTTTGGCAGTTATTGTATCGTGGTACAGACTTTACAGAATTCTTCAGGAAAATCACTATAAAAATAACAAACAACAACAACAAAGCAATGGCAACAAACAGCAGCAACAACACAAAACACTGAAATGTGGCTTCTAGAGTTGCCATCTATGCTACGTGTCCCTAAATCAGCAAAGGAAGTTATGAGAATGGTGTTTCACCAAATAAAGAATATCAATACAAAGATAGAAATTGTAAAAAAAAAAAAAAAAAAAAGAAAAAGAAACAAATATAAATTCTGGAATTGCAAAGTACAGTAACTGAAATGAAAATTTATGGAGAGGCTCAACATCAAACTTAACCTGGAAGAAGAATTGGTGAATAAAACAAAAGGATTAATTAGCATTATCCAATCTGAGAAACAGAAAGACAAAGAATAAAGTAAATTAAGAGCATCAGGACATGTGGGACCAACAAGTGGCTCAATATTTACACAATGAGATTTCAAGGAGAGAAGATAGAGAAAGAAATAGAAAAAAAATGAAAAAATAATTACAAAAATTTTCTCAAATTTGATGAAAGCTATTAATTTACACATCTGAGAAACTCAACAGACTTTAAGTGGTATAAACTCAATGAGATCCACTCATAGGCACATCATTATCAAACTGTCAAAAGCTAAATGGAAAGAAAGGATCTTTAATATTCTGAGAGAAGCACCTCATAACACACAGTATTATACTACACAATACTATAAGACAATTAGACCTAACAGGCTTCTATTTAACACACCTTTTCTACAGCAGCAAAATGCATATTCTTCATAAGTGCACATGGAACATTTTATGGGGCTGATCATATTTGAGGCCACTAAACAAATCTCAATAATTTTGAAAGAATTAAATCATGTAATAATTTTATAAACCTAATAAAATGACAAATTAACTACAGTAGGAAAATTTGGAAAATCACAGTAACAGGAGAATTTAACAACACATTTCTAAGTAATTAACTGGTCGAAGAATAAATCACAAGAAAAATTAGAAAATATTTTGAGGTGAGTTACATTGAAAATATAATATTCCCAAACTTGTGGGATGTGACTTAAGTAACACTTAGGAGGGTTTCTATAGCTGTGGAGTCCTATATTGAAAAAGAAGAAATATCTCTAATAACTGAACTTTCCAACTTAAGAAACTAGAAAATAAATAACAAAGTAAACTCAAAGCAAGGAAAAAGAAATAATGAAATTATAAGTAAAATAAATGAAATAGAAAACAGAAAAACAACAGTGAATCAACAAAACCAAAATTTGTTATTTGAAATAATCAGTAAAAATTGATAATGGTTTAGGTAGACTGACAAAGCGAAAAGAAAAAATATCGAGTTAATAAAACCAGGAATGAAAGAGGGCATATAACTAACAAATTTACAGAAATAAAAAAAATTATAAGAGAATATTGGGAACAATTGCACGCCAACAAATCAGATAACATGAACAAAATGAACCTATTTCTAAAAAGAGAATAACTATGGAAACTGACTCAAGATCAAATAAAAAATATGAATAGACCTATAAGAAGCAGAAAAATTAAATTAGAAATTTAAAAACTTCCTTCATCCACACACACACACACACACACACACACACACACACACACAGAAAGCCCAGACCCAGATAGCTAAGCTGGTGTACCTAACAAACAAAAATTCATAAAAAGCATTATTGTCAGTCTTTCACAGACTTTTTCAAACATTAGGAGAAGACAATACTTGCCAATTCATCCTTTGATGCAGTAAAATCCTAAGAACTAACAACAAAGACCTTCATAGGAATAGAACACTGTGGGCCAAGGTCCCTTATAGATATAGACACATAGACACAAAAACTTTCAACAGAATGTTAGCAAATTAAATCTAGCAACATATGAAATGAGTTATATACTATGACTTAGTGGATGTTTTCCACTATTACAAAATTAGTATATTAGTTTTCTACTGCTGCTGTAGAAAATTACCAGAAACTTAGTGGTCTAAAACACAAATTTTTATCTTAGATTTGTGTAGGTTAGAACTCCCGGATAGGTCCCACTGGGTTAAAATAAAGGTCTTGGCAGATCTTCATTCCCTTCTGGAGGCTGTAAGGGAGAATCCATTTCACTATATCTGCTCAAAGGGGTTCATTCATTCATTGATTCTAATAATATTCATTTAGTTAGTATATATGCCGTGTACTATTCTGGGATCTTGGGTACTTGAGGCAATTAAGGAAACAAATAATTTCTCTTATCGATGCTAGTTGAAGGATTTAGACAATAAACAGGAAACTTAAAAATAAGTTGCTAATTTTTTGTTGTTGTTGAGATCTAGACACTGCAATGACAAATAATGCAGTGCAGGATAAACGAAGGTTGGGGTGTGGGCCAGTTTTAAATTTTAAAATTAAGTTGTAATTTTTTAAACTGTGGACAGCTTTATTGGGAAAGTGACATTTTACCAAAGATTAACAAAGTAGTCAAGAGACTGTGTCATGAGGTGGTCTGGGAGATGAGAATTCTGCATAGAGGAGATTGCCAGTTTCCAAGCTGTAAGATAGAAAGACACTCAGTAAATTTAATCAATAGCCCAGTAACCAATATGGCTGGTAAAGAATAAGCAACAACAAGGGAGAAGGAGAAGAGTTCAAGAGAAGTAAGAGGGCAGAGTTTTAATAGGGCTTATAATTTTATTTGAACGGTTTTGGCTTTTTCTCTAAGTGACATAGAAAGCCACTGCAGGTTTATGAGCAGTGAATTGGTGTAATCTGACTTAATCTGTTAATAGAATTACTCTGGGTAGTGTTTTGGGAATAGTTTATAATAGCAATAGCTCTTCCTGACCCTATTCCCCTTATGTTCAATCTATCATTCACATTTTCTACTAGAAAGGCCTTTATAAAACAGAAAGTACATAACGCTATTATCTAGTGCCAAACTCTGTGGTGAGTATTTATTGAAATAAAAGAGTTGTGCCCTGTGGTGTTCTGTGTTATCCAGTCACTGCCTCCCCCTTTAGCCTCATCTAATGTCACTCATCCCATCTGTCACTGTGCTCCAACCATATTGATACTTCCTTTTCAGGAAATTCAGCTATTTCAGACAGATATTTTATACAGATTTCTTTTATTCTGCCTGAGAGCAATTCTGTACACTCTTTTGCAGATTAAATCTTACGTATTCTTAAAGTCTCAACTTGAATGTCACACACTCAGGAAGGCTTTCTCTGAACACTAAACTGAGTTAGGTTTCCTGATATAATTGTTCAATGTGATTAGTCTTCCCTCATGCACTGTGAGCTCCATGGTAATAAGGATTATGTTCCTTTTTGTTTCTCTTACAGTAGTTGAACCTAGAATCAGTTATTTTCTCTATCCACAGAAAGTATGTCAACCCAATTCCATCTTACACTTTCTAGTTATATGAATTATAACATAACATTGATAAAGAATGAACACATTTTAGCAAAGCTAAGTGACCATTAGAGGTGTCTTTCAACTTCTCTGACAAATTTCATTCGTTTCTCATTATCACGTGATATATTTTTGTAATGAGTACTTGGGTTTTACATAAAACATGCGTTTTAAAGTGAGAATGCGTGATAAATATCAAAGTAACACATTAAGGCTCTTATGTAACATATCTTGCTTTTTTTAGTTTCTTTCTTTAGTAGACTTTACCTTGTGGAACTTTGTTTCGCTTTTTAATAGCATTTTATTCTACATTGGTATGGTGATTACCATGACTTTCACTGAGAACAGCCAATATTAAGCAAAACTTGCCATAATATTATGGGGTCATTTTAATTCTCTTTGTCTTCAAAAATTTGTCAAGAAAGCAAGGTAAGTCATATTGAAGAACATTCCTTTCCATTTTACAGATATAATTGAAATATAACTGCATCTCACAAATGATGGAAAAGATGAATAACAATAAAACCAATTTTTACATTTTAGATAAGATTTGTTTAATATAAATGGCCAAGGTGTGGCAGATACTCATGCATGCATCTTGAACATAATTTTGTTTCAATGTGCAGGGGATTTTAGAAAAGTGTGCAGGCATTGGAAATTATGTTGAATGCCTATGTTCTCTTTTGACAAAGATTTTTAGAAGGATTACTCTAAATAATTTTTAAATCAATAATTATTTTTTTTCCCAATCAAGTAAATATTGACTTAGAGGAAGATATATACCTTGTCTCTATTTCTGGGAAAGAATGCTTTAATTGCTGTTTGTCATTTCATGTTAAATAAATTCATATATTTGTTAAAAGAAGTGACACTAAATGCTTAAAAGAGATACCCATTGACTTTACATTGTTTTGCTGGGACTTACAGCATGATATTCTGGCTTTCTTTTTACTACTTGGTCTTTGCATATCAGTTTTGTAAGAGATATAATCAGACAATATATTAGTGTATTTTTTGAGGCATTAATATGAGAGCCTGACAGCATTACCTCTAATGTTTATATCACCATAAAATTGGTTTATAGTGATACAATTAGTAATGTTAAACCTAGCTATTATAAGAAGTAGTACTGATTGTTCCACAGTAAATCTCACTTTATAGTGACATAAATGAACAATATTTGTGCCATCATGGTTTATGGCATCAAGTAATCTCATGGGAACAAATAACAGTTATCCTGAATGCTCTAATCTTACAGATAAACTATCCATTCATGTTACATTTTAAATCAATATTACTATGATTCACATGCTCTTTTGACTACCTAAAGTTATGAAGGTTTATTTTTTAGCAAAAATATCACAAGTTACATACTTTGAAATATTGTGTATCATTAAAATTTTAAATATTTTTTTCTTCTGAATGCTATTTGGATATTTTATATTCTCATTAGGATATGAAAGAAGAGTATTTGCATTTTACTTATGCATTTTTTTGCATAAGTCATTTTGTGATGATAGTATAACCTGTATTTTAAACAAGTTTTATTCAATTGCAAGTTTTCTTTTAACACATAGTGTACTCATGCCAGTAATACTCAAAGTCATGGATGTTTAATTAAATTATTGTAAATCGATTTGTTTTTACAATACCATAACTACATTAGTCCATTCTCATGCTGCTATAAATAACTGCCTGAAACTGGGTAATTTATAAAGGAAAGAGGTTTAATTGACTCACAATTCTGCATGGCTGAGGAGGCCTCAGAAAACTTATAATCATGGCAGAAGGGTAAGCAAACATGTCCTTCTTCACATGATGGCAGAAAGGAGAAGTGTAGAGTGAAAGGGTTGTGGAGGAACCTCTTATAAAAACCATCAGATCTCATGAGAACTTACTCACTGTCATGAGAACAGCATGGGGGTAACATCCCCTATGATTTAATGATCTCCCACCTAGTGCCTCCCACAACACGTGGGGATAATGGGAACTACAATTCAAGATGAGATTTGGGTGGGGTAAGAGCCAAATCATATCATTTCACCCATGGCCCTCCCAAATCTCATGTCCTCACGTTTCAAAACACAATCATGCTTTCCCAGCATTCCCCCAAAGTATTAACTCATTTCAGCATTAATTCAAAAGTCCATAGTCCAAATTCTCATCTGAGACAAGGCAAGTTCCTTCCTCCTATGAGCCTGTACAATCAAAAGCACGTTATTACTTCCTAGATACAATGGGTGTACAAGCATTAGGTAAATTCATCCATTTCAAATGAAAGAAACTTGCCAAAACAAGGGGGATATAGGACGCATGCAAGTCCAAAATCCAATAGGTCAGTCATTAAACCTTAAAGTTACAAAATGATCTCCCTTGACTCAATGTTTCACATCAGGGTCATGCTTATACAAGAGGTGGGCTCCCATGGCCTTGGGCAGCTCCACCTCTGTGGGCTTTCTGGGTACAGCCCCCTCTGGACTGCCTTCATGGGCTGGTGTTGAGTGCCTGTGGCTTTTCCAGGTGCACAGTGCAAGCTGTCCGTGGATCTACCATTCTTGGGTCTAGAGGATGGTAGCCCTCTCCTCCCAGAACCACTAGTAGTGTCCCAGCAGGGACTCTGTGTGGGAGTTCCAACCCCACATTTCCCTTCCGCACTGCCCTACCAGAGGTTCTCAATGAGGACTCCACCCCTGCAGCAAACTTCTGCCTGCACATTCGGGTATTTCCACGTCTTCTGAAATCTAGGCAGAGGTTCCCGAACCTCAATTCCAGACTGCACCAGCAGGCTCAACACCACAAGGAAGCTGTCAAGGCTTGGGGCTTGCACACTCTGAAGCCATGGTCTGAGCTGTACCTTGGTCCCTTTTAGCCAGGGCTAGAGTGGCTAGGATGCAGGGCACCAAGTCCCTAGGCTGCACACAGCAGACGGGACCTGGACCTTGCCCACAAAAGCATTTTTTTTTTTCTCCTAGGGCTCTGGGCCAGTGATGGTAGGGGCTGCCACAAAGGTCTCTGTCATGTCCTGAAGACATTTTCCTTATTGTCTTGGTAATTAACATTCTGGTCCTCATCACTTATGCAAATTTCTATAGCAGGCTTGAATTTCTCCCCAGAAAATGGGTTTTCCTTTTCTACTGCATTATCAGACTGCATATTTTCCAAATTTTTATGCTCTGTCATTTCTTGAATGCTTTTCTGCTTAGAAATTTCTTCTGCTAGATATCCAAAATTATCTCTCTCAAGTTCAAAGTTCCACAGGTCTCTAAGGTAGGGGCAAAATGCTGTCAGGCTTTTTGCTAAAGCAAAGCAAGGGTAACCTTTACTCCAGTTCCGAACAAGTTCCCCATCTTTGTCTGAGACGACCTCAGCCTGGACTTCATTGTCCATATCAGTATCAACATTTTGGTCAAAGCCATTCAACAAGTCTCTAAGGAGTTCCGAACTTTCCCATATCTTTCTGTTTTCTTCTGAGCCCTTCAAACTCTTTCAGCCTCTGTTTCAAAGTTGCTTCCATATTTTTGGGCAGCCTTGTAACAGCACCCCACTCTCTGTGGCATGAATTTACTGTATTAGTCTGTTCTCACTTTACCATAAAGAACTCTCTGAGACTGGATAATTTATAAAGGAAACAGGCTTAATTGTTTCACAGTTCCACAGGACTGGGGATGTCTCAGGAAACTTACAATCATGGTGGAAAGGGAAGCACACATGCCCTTCTTCACACAATGGCAAGAAGGAGAAGTGCAGAGTGATTTGGGGGTCGGGGAGCTCCTCATAAAACCGTCAGATCTCAGGAAAACTCACTGTCATGAGAACAGCATGGAGGTAACCTCCCCCATGATTCAATGACCTCCTACTGGGTCCCTTCCACAGCACATGGGGATTATGGGAACTACAATTCAAGATGAGATTTGAGTGGGAACACAGCCTAACTGTATCAATAAAGTTGACTAAATAACATATTAGTTGAATTATTATTTGTCAATTTTATTTGTCAGGATAGATATGACATAGCTTGATATTCAATAATACAACAATCTTACTGATATAGAACATTACTAGTTCTTGTTTATAACATTTTAGTCAAATCATTAGACACTTGTTTTCCATAAAGGAATTATGGAGGCCAAGAAAGCATTCATTATCTTATCACTGCATCATATTGAAATATTGGGGGAACCTGCCCCCGATAGTCAAGTAGGTTCTTTTCTATTTTCCCTAAGTGTCAACCTGTCTGAGAAATAAAGGGAAAGAGTACAAAAGAGAGAAATTTTAAAACTGGGTGTCCAGGGGAGACATCACATGTCGGCAGGTTCTGTGATGCCCCCTGAGCCATAAAACCAGCAAGTTTTTATTAGTGATTTTCAAAAGGGGAGGGAGTGTACGAATAGGGTGTGGGTCACAGAGATCACATGTTTCACAAGGTAATAAGATATCACAAGGCAAATGGAGGCAGGACCAGATCACAGGACCACAGGACCAGGGCAAAATTAAAATTGCTAATGAAGTTTTGGGCATGCATTGTCATTGATAACATCTTATCAGGAGACAGGGTTTGAGAGCAGACAACTGGTCTGACCAAAATTTATTAGGCGGGAATTTCCTCATCCTAATAAGCCTGGGAGCACTACAGGAGACCATGGTTTATTTCATCCCTACAGCTGCAACCGTAAAAGATGACCACCCCTGCAGTGGCCATTTCAGAGGCCTACCCTCAGGGATGCATTCTCTTTCTCAGGGATGTTCCTGCTGAGAAAAATAATTCAGTGATATTTCTCCCATTTGCTTTTGAAAGAGGAGAAATATGGCTCTGTTCCATCCGGCTCACTGGCAGTCAGAGTTTAAGGTTATCTCTCTTGTCCCCTGAACATTGCTGTTAACCTGTTCTTTTTTCAATGTGCCCAGATTTCATATTGTTCAAACACATATGCTCTACAAACAATTTGTGCAGTTAACGCAATCATCACAGGGTCCTGAGGTGACATACATCCTCCTCAGTTTAGGAAGATGATGGGATTAAGAGATTAAAGTAAAGACAAGCATAGGAAATCACCAGGGTATTGATTGGGGAAGTGATAAGTGTCCATGAAATCTTCACAATTTATGTTCAGAGATTGCAGTGAAGACAGACGTAAGAAATTATAAAAGTATTAATTTGGGAAACTAATAAATATCCATGAAATCTTCACAATTTATGTTCTTCTGCCATGGCTTCACCCGGACCCTCAGTTTGGGGACCCTGACTTCCTGCAACATTGAAAAGGTTACAGAATTCCAGAGGCTCCCAAACTGGCAATTACATGCTTTGGCTAAGAAGCAATATGTATTACTTCTGATCACAAAATACTGGCTTTCATTAGTCACATTGCCACTTTCAGCTGTGTGAAACTAAAACATGCAGTTACACATGTGCCTCAAAGATGTGAACAGATAATATTATTAATATATTAGAAATGTCTACCACTCATTGGAGCATTGGTCTGTTATATGTTAAAATAAACGTATATGTTTCCATCATTACTTATTAGAAAACAAGATGCTATAAGCTATTAACTAAATCAACTTTCTCCTGTAAACTGAACAGTCTCAAAAATTTTGCAATTCTTTATAGACATTAAAACATTATTATATTTGTGCTTTAATTTTGAATACATGGAACAAACATTCTTAGAAATAATTGCTTCAATGTAAAAGAATCCATTGTATTCATGGGTTCATTTCACATACCTGGCAGCATGTGATTCATTACATTAAATTATGTTAAAGTATTTTTAATATTTGAAAACATGTTATATATCTAAAATGTTGTTATTGGTTAATTTTCTTTAGTATAATACTTTGGATAATACTTATGATCTGAATCATATATTGTTTACACTAATATTTTATTGTTGATTCAACTCTTCCTTCATTATTTTCTTTATATTAAATGATATTGCTTGTAGACCCTTTTGTTCCAAAACCATACATTTTATAGTTCGTGTTGTAACTATGGTACCAAGGAATTGAAAACTCAAAAAATGTATCTGATTCTATCTGGCTAAATGGGAAAAGAGGTATTTATCTGATAGAGAACTGGACTATGTGAGTATCAGTAGAACTCCTCATGATGGCAAAAGGAGAGGAAAAAAAAATGTATGACCAACGTGCGTTTTCTGTTAGATGATAGGCTTGGGTTAAAAAACACCAAGGAGAAATGTGTATACATACCTTCTGTAAATGATCTGACAGAGATCAGAAAATAACTGTGAGGAGGCCATGAACAGCAGAATTTCATAGATGTTTGCAATAAACTCAGAAACATTTGATTATATTTTGTAATCTATACTGACAAGCTGAGATAAATGGGAGAATGCATACACATTTTCAACTTTTACATTTTGTGTTTGTTGGAGAATGTATCTCAAGTTTATGGGAAAGTTATGAGGAATGTAAAAGTTCAAGTGTAGGATTTTCTTTCTTCTCAGTAATTAAACCATGTCTAGTATGCCTTTTCCTTAATCCCACCTGATTTATGTTTGACCCAAGCAGTAATTTATTCAAGTTTTACAAAATGTTCTACTTGTCCATTAAGATTTCTATGTGTTCCTGAGTGCATTACTTACTGAGTTATTCTTATGATAATCTTCATTTTTCATAAGTCAATTTTTATATTACTCTCTCTGGTTCTATTGCTTTAAATTTCTACATTGAACAGAGCAGTCCTCAGGAGCAAAATGCATTCGTGAGTGTCTGGTGGTTTGCTGACATTGATGCTAAATTATTTAAGTTGCTTGGAGGATAAAAGTTGCTTGAAGTTTATGTAGTATTTTTAAAAGCATTGTTTCTGTTCACATTTTTAAGCTAAAAGACAAATTCCTGCAATATCTTCAATATAGCTCAATAAATATAAACTGATTTATTATATCCCGTATTTGTTTTACTGTTTAAATAAATGATTAATCTTATTCTATTTTAATGATTAGCTTATTTTACCTTTTCTGCTGAAATTTCACTATGTTTCCTTTTTTCTTTCACTCCCTAAATAAAGTTAGGGGGAATTTCTGATCTCCTGGCCTGCCCACGGTTATTTTCTGTTCTCTGTCAGATCATTTGCAGGAAGGGCACACATAAATTTCTGTTTTACTTTTAGCACATTTTCTTTTATTGGTTAACTTAAACATGAAGCTAAAACGTTTATAGATACACAAGATACTTACCAGATTATGTATGGGCTACAAATAACCTCCTATTTTAGTGAACAACATAGCTAGAAGCCTGGATTCCACACAGTTTTGCTAATAACTAACTATAAGACTTTAGAAATGTCACATAACCTCAACGGAATTCACAATTTTAATCTGAGAAGTGAAAATAAAATTTCTAGATTATCTCCAAGTATTTTTACTATCAGTTTTACATCAGTATGATACATGTGCTGGAATTAATGAACCAATTTCGATATATTATTATTAACTAAAGTCAATTTTGTTTATATTTTCTTAGTTTGTACCTAATGCCACTTTTGGGTTTCAGGATCCTATCCAGGAAAACACAGTATATTTAGGTGTCATGTCTCCTGGTAATTTCTAAAGGCTTCTTCCTTTCTCTCTGTCTCTTTCCCCCCTTCCCCTTCGCCTTCCCCTTCCCCTTCCCCTTCCCCTTTCCCTTCCCCTTCCCCTTCTCCTTCCTTCCTTCCTTTCTTCCTTTCTTCCTTCTCTCCTTCCTTTCTCTTTTCTTTTTTCTTTTTCTCTTCCTCTCTTTCGTTCTTTCTCTTTATTCTTTCTTTCTTTCTTTCCTTCCTTCCTTCTTTCATTTTCTTTCTTCTTTATCTCCTTTCCTTTTCTTTTTCCTTTTGTTTTTCCTTTGCCCTTTCCTTTTTCCTTTCCTCTTTCTTTTTCCCTTTCCTTTCCTCTCCTCCCTTCCCCTCTCCTCTCCTCTCCTTTCCTTTTTCCTTTCATATCTCGTTTTCTTCCTTTCCTTTTCTTTTTGATGACTAGACAATTTCTAGTAGCACTGGCCAGAAATTTTATGTAATGTTCCTTTGTTGGTATTTGTCTGATATTTGTGTTTTGATTGCATTTGTGTGATAGGTTTGGGTAAGAAGTCTACAGAGGTAAAGTTTCATTTCCATAAGATCATACTAAGCATGACTTATTGTAGAAGTTGACCTTGATTGAGGTAGCATTTGTCAAATTTCTCCACTATAAAATTACTTCTTTATACCCATTAGATTGACATTGCATTGCCTTATTTCCTCTTTTATTTTAGTTCTATCTATCTATCTATCTATCTATCTATCTAATCTATCTATCTATCATCTATCATATATCTATTACCTATTTAAATTGTATTTGGTGTATGATCATTTGTTTTATATTTATTTTTCTTTCTAAGGAAACAATATGAAGTTTGTAAAAAGATAAACTATACTCTAGATTACATCTTCTCTACTTAGATGCTTTAACCTAATTAAGTTACCTAAAAGTAGAAGATCAAACTATCCTACTTTTACATAACACTAAGATTTGAATATATCTTCTTGTCACAGAATATATATTATATTTCACATATGAGGTTTTCATACATATGATGTGCTAATTTACAGAGTGTAGTATACTAATCTCACTCTCAAATTTGTACAATCTTAAGATAACCTCTAAAATACTGATTCCCTGGCTTTCTCCCTCAATATGTAAGTTTAGTTAAAATTTTGTGTGGGACCAGAAATAGGCATTTTTAACAAGCACTCCAGTCAGTTATGATATTGGTGGTTCAGAGACCACACTTCTAAAAATACTAGGTGTAATATTTAAAAGTGTTAGGTTTATCATCACCAATATTGAAATTTTACCCTATTTTCAACTTTTTTTATCTGTATGATTTTGAGCCAGTTACTTTTGGTCTCAATATATCAATTTATCTGTAAAGCGAAGGTGATAATAGAACTTTACACAGATAATGTGGCTAATACAGCATTTAGCCCAGTTCCTAATATATACTAAGTCATGAGTAAATTCTAGATCCTATTTTTAAGCAAGAAATATTCATCTTTTTCAGTTGTTTTTTTCTAATTACCGTTAGACTTTGTACAGTAAATATTATAGTTTTCGAATTACATTCTATGGTTTTCAAAACGACAACCATATTAATTCTGAATTGTGCTACTTCTCCCAATATCACAATAAACCTAAAACTTGTAATAATACATAAAACATTTGGAATAATATTTTCTTTATGCATCATAAAACATTCAAGCTCTCTACAGGGAAATGTGATATTAAGAACTAAACAATCAGGCTACGAGCTGAAAGGAAAACTTTCTAGCTAACATTGTCCTAAGTCATTACATTTCCCTTAAGGTAAGAAAATACAGTGTCTGTTTCCTGTGAGAATAACAATACCTGACATCATGTAATAGTTAAAAACATTTACTAATTTGGTAATGCATAGAATTTCAACACAAACATGATTTTTATCATGTAAATTGTCAGAACACTGAAACACAGAGATTTTCAGGGAAATGCCTTAGATTATTTAATAAATCTAAATCTCATAGCTACAAACAGCATGTTAGACAGAAAGAAAATTCAAAAAAATTTTTTTTGAGTCTGATAACAGAGAATGTTGACATCATTAACAGAAATACTGTTGCTAAACGATTCTGTTTTGGAATAGAGGGGTGTAAGTTTTATTTGTATGTTTGAACATTTTTAGTTTGAAGTAAAGTTAGCATATTTTCATTAAGCCTTCTCAGTGGCTTTTCTTTGAGTCTTTCATCTTTATTAAAAAAATGAAAGCAATAAAAATAATGAGTTGAGCATCATAACATACAAGAGTTTTCTACTATTAAACTTTATTTATAATTTACCCAAGTACTACATAAGTATTTTTTACTTTTCTAAAATAATTTTATTTAAATAATTTTGATTTAGACATTTGACATTCAAGTACTATAATTTATTTGCAAGTTTTCTTTTAATTGTAAAGATAAATTTTGTCTTTAGAAGAAAAATACATATTTGAAACATAAATATTGTTTTGAATTTTTACATGTATTTTAATTTATATTGTTTGATAAAATATGTTCACATTTTACATATTTTGAATACTGTTCTATCTTATTTTATAGGTTTCTTATTGATGATGATAGTGACACTTTTTGGGGTTTGTCTGTAAGAAAAAATATGCCTATCTACCTAAGTTCACTTTTAAAATGCTATTTTATCCTTTAGATTTATTTATATTCTGTAAACTTTAAAACTATTATTATACTTTATTTTATTATTGGTGCAGAAACTTTACTCTGAAACTCTTATTGGTCATATTAATTTCCTAGAAAATGTTCTTAGGATTAACATTCTTAATTTGTTAAGTTGAAAAAGTATTTTCAAAATCGATGTGTTATTTCATGATAGTCCACGGATATTTAAAAATATTTGCACTTTAATAGCAAGTTAAAGTGTTTTACATAAAGAGATATTCTGAAGTTTAATTAAAAACATGAATATTTCTGAAAATTTACATGTAATACAGGTTATAGGCACAGGTATGTAGCTTCTGGAACAGAACTACTCTTGGAATCTCCCTTTGTGTTTTCGTTATATGTCATGATGATGTGCTTATAATCAGCAACATTTCTTGTTTTTTTTTTCTGATACTTTGGGAAACACATAAAACCTCATTTTGTGTGTGTGTGTGCGTGTGTGTATGTATATATATACATGCACATATATATATGCACTTGCTTCCTAAACTTATATTCTAGTAGAGAAATAATATAACATAGTTGATTTTGGAAGTATTTCAATACAATAGAACCAAAAGTTTGAGTTAGAATTTTGGCAGCTAAAAATCTAGTGTGAAGGTTAATATTGAGTATAAACTTGATTAGATGGAAGGATGCAAAGTATTGTTCCTAGGTGTGTCTGTGAGGATGTTGCCAAAGGAGATTAACATTTGAGTCAGCTGGCTGGGAAAGGCAAACACACCCTTATTCTGGGTGGGCACAATCTAATCAGCTGCCAGTGGGGCCAGAATAAAAGCAGACAGAAGAATGTGGAAAGATTAGTCTGGTTTTGTCTTCTGGCCTACACCTTTCTTGCATGTTGGATGCTTCCTGCCCTCTAACATGGGACTCCAAGTTCTTCAGCTTTGGGACTCAGACTGGCTTCCTTTCTCCTCAGCTTGCAGGTGGCCTATTGTGGGACCTGACCTTGTGATTGTGTGAGTCAATAATCCTTAATAAACTCTCCTTTATTTATCCTATTAGTTATGCTTCTCTAAAGAACCCTGACTAATGCATCTAGTAACTATGCAATATGTGCTAATGTAGGAAAGCTTTTGGAAAGTTGGCCAAATGTTTAATTCTCATCAATGTTTACAAAGAATACTTTTAATACCTCTAAACTGGGATTACATTTTACTCTACCTACAGACTACCACTTCTTTATGTAGTACTCTGACAATGTTTTATAATTATGTTTTCAGTGTAGCCACAACAGACATTTGGATTTTCTATACCTAGTTTAGAATCTCTATATCAGTAGATTCCCAATTTTCTCACTAAACTTTCAAATACAGCAAAATTTGCCCAGATTATTTAAAAATATAACATTTCTTATAGATTTCATCATATTCTAATTCCTTCATAATTAGTATGCGGAGAAAACTATTTGAAAAATAATCAAGCCCTACAAATTTCAAAAATCTTATTTAACAGAGAACCCAGAGATAAAGCTGCACATCCATAGCCATCTGATCTTCAATAACGTTCACAAAAATAACTAATGGAGAAAGGACTTGCTATTCAATAGATGTAGTGGGATAGTTGGCTAGCTGTATGAGGAAGAATGACTCTGGACCTATACCTTTCACTATATACAAACATTAACTCAAGATGGATTGAATATTTAAATATAAAATATCAAACTATAAGAATTCTAGAAGAAAACCTAGGAAATACCATGCTACATGTAAGCCTTGGCAAAGAATTTATGACTAAGACCTTAAAAGCAATTGCAACAAATAATTTGACAAGAGGGATTTCATTAAACTAAAGAGTTTTTGCACAGCAAAAGAAGCTATCAACAGACTAAACAGACAACCTGGAGGATGAGAGAAAACATTCACAAACTATGCATCCAACAAAGATCTAATATCCAGAATCTACAAAGAACTTAAACAATTAACAAGCAAAAAACAAATAACGCCATTAAAAAGTGAGCAAAAGACATAAACAGACACTTCTCAAAAGGAGACATAGAAGCAGCCAACAAACATATGAAAAAATATTAAACATCACTAATAACCAGAGAAGTGCAAATCAAAACCACAATGAGATACCATCTCACACCAGTCAGAACTGCTATTTTTAAAAAGTCGAAAACCAGCAGGTAGTGGTGAGACTTCATAGAAAAGGGAACACTTATGCAATATAGGTGGAAATGTATACTATTTCAGCCATTGTGGAAAGCAATTTGGAGATTTCTCACAGAACTTAAAACAGAACTACCATTTCACCCAGCAATCCCATTAGTAGGTGTATTTCTGAAAGAAAATAAATTATTCTACAAAATAGCCACATGCATTCATATGTTCATTGTAGCACTATCCACAATAGCAAATATATGGAACCAACCTAGGTGTCCATCAGTGGTGAACTGGATAAAGAAAATGTGGTACATATACACCATGGAATACTATGTAGCCATAAGAAAGTACAAAATCCTGTACTTCATGTAGCAACATGGAAGCAGATGGAGGCCATTATCTTAAGTGAATTAACACAAGAACAGGAAACAAAATACTGTATGTTATAACTTACAAGTGGGAGATAAATTTTGCGTACCCATGGATATAAAGTTTGCAACAATAGACACTGGGGACTTTTAGAGCAGGGAGGCAGAAAGAGGGGCAAAGACTGAAAAACTAATGCTGGGTACCAGGTTCATTATCTGGATGATGGGATCATTCATATCTCGAACCTCAGCATCATGTAATATATCCATGTAACAAACCTGCAAATATACCCCCAAATCTAAAGTAAATGCCAAAATCATAAAATATAAACATACGTTGAGAAATCTTCTTTTACTTAAATGATAGGGTAAATTTTTATCAAAAATCATTAGTCTCAGATTTGCTTTTAACTATTTAAGTGTTTAGCCTAAAATAAACTTTTCTTTTTCCTCCTTGTTAGATGATTAACAACTTTCCATTTCTCTAACCACTTAGAGTAAGTAGTTCCATTTTTCCAACTACTTCTTCTGAATTATTCTGACTTTCCTTGCCTTTCATAACTGAATTGCATGGGTTCTTAATACAAATA
Source organism: Homo sapiens (assembly GCF_000001405.40). Taxonomy (NCBI): domain Eukaryota; kingdom Metazoa; phylum Chordata; class Mammalia; order Primates; family Hominidae; genus Homo; species Homo sapiens. Next base: position 171,787 of record NW_021159995.1, read on the forward strand.
CAATATTTGTATTACATTCAAATATAGAAAGAATTGATCTATGGTTGTCCCTTATCAGATATATATTATATTAATATTTTCCGGCATGTATGTATTTATTTTTCTAACTGTGTCTGCATCTTCTGATGAGTAGAAATTTTTAATTTTGTTCAATTCCATTTTATCATATTTTTCTTTATATTCACTGCTTTCTGTTACCTGTCTACAAAAGGGTTGCCTTCATGGAAATATTTTGCTATATTGTCTATTAAATATGTTATGGCTTTAACTTGGGTTGTCTTAATAACTTTGACAATGTTATTTAGTCATATTAAGTCTATTCTTGGGTCTTTTTAATAAGTTTTGGAGTAAGGCGGTGAGCCTTAGGAACTTTTTCTTTTTTTCAAAATAAATTTGGATATTCTAAAGCCCCATTTATTTTCCACATAAATTGTATCATCAGCTTGGAAATTTCAACATCAGTAATGAAAAGAATTCTGGAATAATATTTGAGACCCCATTGGATTTATATATGAATTGGAGAAGAATTGACAACTTAGCAATATTGAGTCTTCCAATCTGCATCCTAGGAATAATGGCAATACTGGACATACTAAACAAAAAACTAACACTAGACAAAATACTGTGTTTCAGGTTCAAATTAGATCAACCAAAAGGTACTTACTGAAACTACTGAAACTCTCATAGATTTTTTGTGGGTATAAATTGTTACAGCCACCCTAGAAAACTCTTTATCAGACTCTAATAAAATGTGTACTTACACTGTGACACAAAATTTTTATCCTAGCTATATAGCCAAAAGACATGAAACTACATGTCGACCAAAATACAAACATACAGACAAGAGCAACAAAGTTTTATACCAGTTTTATTCATAAAATTCCAACCTGGAAACAACCCACAGAAATAAAATATGTTTTTGTACATTTACACAATGTCATACTACATATCAGTGAAAAAGAATAGACCACTGGTGAAACAACAGCATGGATGAATTTCGCAGAAATAATGCTGAATGAGAGAAGACAGACATAAAAGACAATATACTGTAAGATTGTATTTGTACTACATTCAAATATAGAAATAATTGATCTATGGTTGTAGAGGTCAGGTAAGTGGTTAATTTAAGTGACATATTGTCTACAGGGTGATGTGCTACAGCTTTCTTGGATACTAATCTCTCCTAATGTATATGGTGACAGTAAATAATATTGATACATAAAATTAATTGAGCCATATGGTAAATATTCATGTACTTTATTGCATGCACATTAAACACCAATTTAAAAGAAAATGTATTGAATAATTAGATTTCTCCACCTTATGCGGAACACAGACACTAAGGTAGCTCTTTCTAAAGCAACTTATCAAATGGATCTTATAAGAAGAAAGCAAAGAGCATAGAGGAAAGACTTCCATCTACTAAAATCTGGGGGATACCTCATTAAAGTAGTTTACTCTGCAGCAGTTGTAATGCAGTGAATCCTACAAGCTGACTGTCCCTATGCACAGCCAAAAATTTCTCGTTGGTTTAGTACTTTCCTCTTTTTAGTAGAAACAGATAATCAAGAATCAGAAGTTATGAGAGCAAATATCCAAACATGACAATCTACAAAATGAGGAATAAAAGAATTCAGAGGTAACAATGTGTTTTGAAAGAACAAGAGATCTAATTTTGAAATAAAACTAGATTCTAAGGATGACGAAGGAAAGATGTGCACCATGAATTTAACAATAGATTCAGTATTCTGCAAAAAACAAAACAAGACAAAACAAAACAAACAAAACAAATACAAAATGAAAAGATGCTCTTAAGAAAGAAAACTAATATCTACAATTTGAAATTTTTCAATAGAAGATTTGAAAGATTATGCCAAGTTAAGCTCTTAAAAGGTAGTAAAAATGACAAAAAGAAAATATGACAATTAGAAAATGATTTTGTGGAGTTCTCAGATCACAATAATATTTCTTCAAAGACAGAACAATGAATAAGAAGGAGAAGATTAATATATCAAAAATAGTATAATAAAACTTCCCAAAGACTGAAGAATATGTGTCTTACAGAAAAAAAAGACCCACTCTAGAAAACAGAACACAAAGGGAGCATGCTGGATGATATGGTTTGGCTCTGTGTCCCCACCCAAATCTCATCTTGATTTACACTCCCATAATTTCTGCTTGTTGTGAGAGGGACCCAGTAGGAGATAATCTGAATCATAGGGTGGTTTTCCCTATACTGTGCTCTTAGTAGTGAATAAGTTTAATGAGATCTGATTGTTTTAAAAGGGGTTTCTGCTTTGACGTTTTCCTCATTCTCTCTTTGCCTGCTGCTATCCATGTAAGATGGGACTTTCTCCTTGCATTCCACCATGATTGTGAGGCTTCCCCAGCAACATGGAACTGTGAGTCAAATTAAACCTCTTTTTTCTGTAAGTTACCCAGTCTCAAGTTTGTCTTTATCAGCAGCATGAAAATGGAATAATAGAGTAAATTGGTACCAGTAGAATGGGGCATGGCTGAAAAAATACCCCAAAATGTGGAAGTTACTTTGGAACTGAGTAACAGACAGAGGTTGAAACAGTTTGGAGGGCTCAGAAGAAGACAGGAAAATGTGGGAAAGTTTGGAACTTCATAGAGACTTGTTAAATGGCTTTGACAAAAATGCTGATAGTGATATGAACAATAAGGTCCAGGCTGAGGTGGTCTCAGATGGAGATGGGGAACTTTTTGGGAACTGAAGGAAAGATGACTCTTGTTATGTTTTAGCAAAGAGACTGGTGGCATTTTGCCCCTGCCCTAGAGATATGTGAAACTTAGAACTTCAAAAAGCTGATTTAGGGTATCTGCTGGAAGAAATTTCTAAGCACCAAACCATTCAAGAGGTGAATTGGGTGCTGTTAAAGGCATTCAGTTTAATAAGGAAAACGGCATAAAAGTTCAGAAAATTTGCAGCCTGACAGTGCAATAGAAAAGAAAATTTCATTTTCTGAGGAGAAATCCAAGCCTGCTGCAGAAATTTGCATAAGTAACAAAGAGCTGAATGTTAATCCCCAAGACAATGGGGAAAATGTCTTGAGGGCATGTCAGAGGTCTTCATGACAGCCCCTCCCATCACAGGCCCGGAGGCCTGGAAGGAAAACATGGTTTCATGGGCTGTGTCCAGGGCCCCTGTGCTGTGGGCAGCCAAGGGACTTGATGCCCTGTGTCCCAGCCACTCTTTCCATGATGAAAAAGGGTCAATGTAGAGCTCGGACATGTCTTCAGAGGATGCAAGTCCCATGCTTTAGCAGCTGCCAACTGGTATTGAGCCTGTGAATGCACAGAAGTCAAGAACTGGGGTTTGGGAACCTCTGCCTAGGTTTCAGAGTATGTATAGAAATGCCTGGATGCCCAGGAAGAAGTTTGCTGCAGGGATGGGGCTCTCATGGATAACCTCTGCTAGGGCAGTGTGGAAAGAAAACATGGGGTTGGAGCCCCATACAGAGTCCCTTCTAGGGCACTGCCTAGTGGAGCTGTGAGAAAAGAGCCACCATCCATCCGCTAGACCCCAGAAAGATAGATCCACCAACAGCTTGCATCATGTGCCTGGAAAAGCCACAGATAGTCAACACCAGACCCTGAAAGCAGCCAGGAGGGAGGCTGTACCCTACAGAGCCACAGTGGTGGGAGCTGCCCAAGACCATGGGAACCCACCTCTCGCATCAGCATGACCCAGATGCGAGACATGGCATCAAAGGAGATCAGTTTGGAGCTTTAAGATTTGACTGCCCTGCTGGATTTCAGACTTGCATAGGGCTGGTAGCCCCTTTGTTTTGGCCATTTTTCCCCATTTGGAAAAGCTGTATTCACCCAATGCCTATACCCCCATTGTATCAAGGAAGTAACGAACTTGCTTTTGGTTTTACAGGCTGATAGATGGAAGGGACTTGCCTTGTCTCAGATGAGACTTTGGACTGTGGATTTGGGGGTTAATGCTGAAATGAGATAAGACCTTGGGGAGCTGTTGGGAAGGCATGATTGGTTTTAAAATGTGAGGGCATTAGATTTGGAGGGGTCTGAGGTGGAATGATATGGTTTGGCTCTGTGTCCCCACCCAAATCTCATCTTGAATTTTACTCCCATAATTCCCATGTGTTGTGGGCAAACCCAGCGGAGATAATTTGAATCATTAGGATGGCTTCCCCATACTGTTTTCTTGTTAGTGAATAAGTCTTACAAGATGTGATGGTTTTATCCGGGGTTTCTGCTTTTGCATCTTCCTCATTCTGTCTTTGCCTGGTGCCATCCATGTAAGATGAGACTTGCTCCTCTTTGCCTCCCGCTATGATTGTGAGGCTTCCCCAACAATGTGGAACTGTAAGTCCAATTAAACTTCTTTCTTTCGTAAATTGTCAGTCTTGTATATGTCTTTATCAGCAGCACGAAAATGGTCTAATACACTGGGAAAGTGATTTTTAGTGTACCATTTATGTCTAGTTACACACTCCAAAGGTAAATGCAAAATAAAGACAGGATATGATTCAGAAAAATCTACCTCTTAAGCATATTTTCATAGGAAGCTACTAGAAGATGCTTTCTAACAAATCAATGAAATAAATTAAAACAAGAAGATATGAGGTTCATAAAACAGTAGCCGTAACAAATGATAGCAGATTAGAGAAATTCCAAGGTTGCAGTTGTGCTTCAATCATAGATAGCAAAGCATCCAGATTAGAACAAGAGGTTGATTCCAGGATGGCCTTTGCAGGCCAATGATTCATTGAGTGATACACTGGAGAAGTTAAGCCATAAATATATATCAGCAGCATACACATGGCATACCAAAAGCCCAAGCCTGTCTGCTGCCACTATAAAGGATTTATGTTATGTAGCAGCCTAGAACATGAAAAGTTGCACAGAAATAAAGCACTGATATTTGGTTTATTAACTATGACATCTTCTATTTAATTCTTCTATATTATAATCTTAGCAGAAATGATAAACATTAAAATAATTGCTAACTCAGCAATTTGGTAATAATAATAAATAAAACACATATCCTACTTTGACACTATACTTTTTGTTTTATATAGTAGAGCATCTATGATTGTCATAAAAACATGTTGGCTATGAAGATAAGAATTGTTCATATTTAATAGAATATGAACTAAAAATTTTAAAATATCACAAAGAAGTTTCAACCTTTATTTAATGAAATAAATGAAAAGATGATACTTTGATGAGAGGTTGAATATAGAGCACTGGAAAGTTGATAAATAAAAAATAATGTAATCATGTTATTTTGACGTACATGATTATCTGAAGTACTGAAAATGAGAATGTTTGAACTGGATACTTTGAAAGACTATGCCAAGTTCAGCTCTCAAAAGGTAGTTAAAAATGATAAAAAAAAAAAAGATAATTAGAAAATGTTTTTTGTATTTCCCATATCACAATAATATTTCTTCTAAGACAGAACAATGAATAACAAGAATAGTAAAAGGAGATTCAATGATGAGACATCGTGTTTGATTTGCTGCTTCTGATTACAATACTATTTGTACTATAATTTTAAAACGAATATGTGTGCATGTACATTGGATTTTTTAAATAAACAACAAATAAAGTGACACCATCTATTTCAGGGAATATAGAAAGAGTAATTTTATTTTTAATTTTAAGTTATTCTATAATGTTATTATATATGTAATATGTTATAATGCTTTAATTTTGTATTTTATATAATTTAAAACTATTTTAAATTAAATTAAATTAAATTTAAATTAAGCTATATATAGACGGCTTCCTTTGTCTTAGCACAAGAATTGCACACCACAGCTTGTGTGCTAAATCTTGTTCACCTCTTATTTTTGATATGACCTGCAAGCTAACAGGTTTATACTTTTAAAGATTGAAAATAAATGAAATAAATAATATTTTTTGATAATTGTATGAAGTGAGAATTTCAGTTTCCATATATCAACTTATATTGAAATACATCCATACTAATTTGTCTGTTCTCTATGATTGCTTTTGCCCTACAATGGAAAATTTGAATAATTGTGACAGAAGAAAAGCTTTAAATATTTACTATCTCACCTTTTACAGAAATCGTTTTCCAACCGGCCTTATAGGATAATTCTTAAACACCTCAAAAAGCAAATTTTCCTGATTTGAAGTAAAATCATTCTTTGAAAATTATGTCACACAATGAACATAGGCATAAAGTCAAGACTGTTTGTATAACTGAATCTTTAATTTAAAAAGACTAAAGATGAAAGAGGTTAGTAAAATAATGCAAATGATGAAGCTATGGTGTGAGATAGGAGAGACTTAAGGCTACTAGAGCCAAGTGTGCAATTTAAAGATAACCATGTGGTCCTTTGCTGTGAAGGCACTGAAGTCTTGGGGATGGAAAAGCTAAATTGTTTCTCGCATAAAAAAGGAATGACTGATGAGTCTAATCAGGGATAGTAAATGATAGTTCTCACAAAATTGAAATGTAGCCATCCAAATATATATTGCCCTGGGAAGCAAATCATAATATTCAATAAGTTAACATTCTGTTACAGATATTATGTGTGTGGAATCTGCATACCTAATGTAGGGGAGAAATTTGAAGAACAAAAGTTTTGGAGATTTTTATTTCTTTCAATGAAAACCATTACATTACTGTATCTGCCTTTGGAATATTTTAGTTTGCTTGTTTTACGTGGAGTAATTTAAAAACTTATTTTGCTGTCTTAACAACATCTAATATTATACTATGAAATTCAGGAGTTTAAGGAAAGATACTGTTGCATACACAATTAAAGAAAATGGTGTGCAATTTTAGTGAGATGAAACAATTTTATTCACATTTCATCACATAAATTATCTATTAACTGGCATCTCTATACTACTGTATTGTAGAAAAAACTGAACTTCATGATAATGACTCCAACGTTCAATAAATTTTGGATATACCTTTAGAGCCACTGCATTCTTTTAAAAATGAACTTTGACAGCTTGCTGTTACTTACAGCAGGAGAGCACATATTCAAAAATAAAATCAAACAAATATAAATTATATTTATTTGTAAATATCTTGAAACTTCTGAGTGGCTTTTCAAGAGATATCTGGACTAGTGAGAGAGGTCACATATAGATATAAGTAGTAATCAATAGTTTACTGGAAATAATATCCAGCTTGCATGAAAAATTCCCATGTAATTTATCAAGTTAATGCTGAATATATTATTTGTAAGTATCTTTTATTATAGTCTAATTATTTGTTAAAAATTTAAATATAATAACATGATAATTTCATTCCTGGATATTTGATCTACCACAATATCTCATTCTTCAATCTAATAGTAATTTATTTATAGAATATGGACTGGACATCATGTTAGCTTCATAACAAAATCTAGATATTTGTCAATTCTGTGTCCTGCACCACAGTCCTGAGAATCTCTTGACTGACTTATAGAGAGCTGCTCCAGGAGTTGCCTTCAAGTTTCACAAGTACGTTAAGAGACCGAAATCACCAATTCTTAGAAATAATTAGAGCTGTTTCTTTACTTTTCACAATCTCTACGATTCATGAATCAGTAAATAATAAAGAAGCTTTTAATGCTACCCATCAATGAAATTAGAAAGAGAACTTGGATGATCTTTTTATACTGCTCATACTAATTCTCAATCTTAGTGTATACTACTTACATTCTTTACATTACATTATTTACAGCACATTTTAAATTCTTAGAATGGATTCACCACTATAAAAAGCCAAGTTTTCACTCAATTTTTCTGCAAATGATATTTGATTTTCTTCTCGAGAGCCATCATTTCTTTACTCTCAATTCATTCATGGGGTTCATGAAGTAGTAACATCTTCACAACATACATACACACATATTTTGGTCTGAACACACAATACAACTCTATCATTAAGATTCATTTTTGTCGCCAGTGTTGGGATAATGGTGTCTAGCAAAACCAATGCCCAAGGATGTAGGAATGATGTATATAAGGGATTGTTAGACATCTTCAAATGACTGAAAATTAAGCTAAAACAGATGAAAGTAGGAAGCAAAAAACATATTTTTAATGACATTAGGCTTACAGACCTTAAGTAATATGTGAGTCAGCCATCTTTTTAAACTTGTCCCTTTAACTAAAAATATTCTAATTCTTGAGGTTACTGGATATAGAGTATACCATTGACCACATTTGATACCTGGGCTTGGCTAAAGTAGATAGAAGGCGGTGCCAGTCTACAGATTTCAAACTGTGAGTCTGATAGTACACTTACATGAGAGCAGAATTAGTCTGAATGGTGGCTTATGCTTTTAATCCTAGCACTTTGGGAGGCCAAGGCAGGAGGATTTCTTGAGCCCAGGAGTTCAAGACCAGCCTGGGCAACACAACAAGATCTTGTCTCAATTAAAAAAAGAAAAAAGAAAAAAAGAAAACAAAATGACAAATTAACCTTTCACCCCTGTTGTACCCTGGAGCATACACTCATAAGATATTTATCAGGTAAACATAAGATTGTTGAATTTTCTTTACTAATCATTGCATCCTTAAGTAAGGTCTTAAAAACTGACAATCTTTAGTTGATACTGGCCCATGAAAAGCAGAAGAAAAACAAACAGCTGTCCTTTGTTACATTGACCGTCTCAATGGCATTCAATGGCATAAAGTCTTCTGCTCATGATTTTTGCAGTACCTCAATCTGCCAAGATTGGCTGAAAAAAAAGCAGGTACATCAAGATAAAATAGTCAGTGAAATTGGATGCAGTGATACACCTGAACCCACCACCCATAAATATTTTTCTCCACTCTCTTAGCCTGACAAAAAGTAACTCTTAAGCTCATTTTAAATGACCATCATTCATGGTGATTTGTGAGATTTTGGTGCATCCCTCACCTGGGAAGCATACACTGCACCTATTTGTAGTTTTTTCTCTCTCACTGCCTTCCCACCCTTTTCCCTTGAGTCCCCAAATCCATTGTGTTATTATTATGACTTTGTATCCTCATAGTTTATCTCTCATCTATGAGTAAGAACATACGATGTTTGGTTTTCCATTCTTGAGTTATTTCTGTTAGAATAATAGTCTCCAATCTCATCCAGGTCACTGCAAATGCCATTAATTCATTCCTTTTTATGACTGAGCAGTTATTATATATATATGATATATTATATTACTGATGGAATACTTTATATGTGTGTATATATATATACACTATATATATATATTGTGTGAGTGTATATATATATATATATATAAAATAGTTTCTTTATTCATTCGTTGGTTGATGGGCATTTGGGTTGGTTCCACATTTTTACAATTGTGAATTGTACTGCTACAAAAAAGTGTGTGTAAGCATCTTTTTCATATAATGACTTCTTTTCCAGTGTATAGATACCAGTAGTGGGATTGCTGGATCAAATGGTAGCTCTACTTTTCATTCTTTAAGGAATCTTCACACACGTAGAAGTGTTGCCTGTTCACTTCAGCCATGCCAACTTCTACTATTTTTAAATTTTTTTTACTATGGCCATTTTTTCAGCGGCAGGTTGATATCACATTGCAGTTTTGATTTTCATTTCCCTGATCATTAGTGATGTTGAGCATTTTTTTATATGTTTGTTGACTATTTGTATATTATCATCTTTTGTGAATTGTCTATTCATGTTCTTTATCAGCACTAAAGAACTTACTCATGTAACCAAACCCACCTGCTCCCCAATAACTTATGAAGAAAAAAGAACAAAATGCAAATGGCCAGGCACAGTGGCTCATGCCTGTAATTCCAGCCCTTTGGGAGGCTGAGGTGGGCAAATTGCCTGAGCCCAGCAGCCTGGGAAACATTATGAGACCTCATCTCTACAAAAAAATCAAGAAATTATCCAGGCATGATTGTGTGTGCCTGTGGTTTCAGCTATTCAGGAGGCTGAGGTGGGAAATTGCTTGAGCTCAGAAAGTCAAAGCTGCAGTGATCCATGATTGCACCACTGCACACAAGCCTGGGTGACAAAGGCTTGTGTCCTGGGCTCTGCCCTTATGAATGGATTAGTTCTGTTATTACAGGAGTGGGTTAGTTATAAAAAGTGAGTATGGCCCCTTCTTGCTCTCTTTCATGTGTGTTCCTTTGCCCTTCCACCTTCTGCACAGGGTGACACAGCAAGAAGCCCTCATCAGATTCTGGTACCTTGATACTGGACTTCCCAAGCTCTAGAACTAAAACACTTCATGATTTTTTTTTTTTTTGTCTGTAAACTACCCATTCTATGGTTCTGTGACACAACAAAAAATGGGGAACATCTATAAGAATAGCTACAATAATTTCAAAAAACAACCATACCAATTCCTGACAAGGATGTGAAGCAATAGGAATTCTCCTACAATTCTAGCAGGATGCAAAATAGTTCAGCCACTCCAGAAAACAGTTTGGCATGTTCTTATAAAGTTAAACACACAACTTCCATTTCACCAAGGAAGCCAACTCCTAGGCCTTTACCCTAGAGAAATGGAAACTTATGTTCACAGAAAAACCTGTATGTCAATATTGGTAGAAATGCTACTTCATAATTGCCCAAATTGGACTCAGTCCAAATTTCCTGCAGTGTCTGAATGGATAAACAAACTGTGGTAGACTCATGCATTAAAATACTAGTCAGCAATAAAAAGGAACAGGCTACTTGAATTTCATGCAACAACTTCTATGAATCTCAAAGGTTTACGCTGAGTGAAAGAAGCCACTATCCAAAGGTTACCTACAGTATGATTTTATCTATATTACATTCTTGAAAAGCCAAAACCATAGTGTTGGAGAACAGATCAGTGGTTGCCATAGTGATGTGACTATAAAGGCATAGCGTGAGGGAGTTTTGGGGAGTGATAGGACTGTTCTAAGTACCATGATTGTGGTGGTGTTTACGCGAATATATATATGTCAAAATTCACAAATCTGCTGATTATTTCCCAATGCATATGTATATCGAATTATCAAGTTATACAGCCTAAATATTTAATTATATATGATTTTTAATTGCCAATTATACCTTAATAAAGTTGGAAAAAAATTTTAAAAATAAAAATAAAATGGCCATCAATGTGGGAGAGATTCCCCAACCTACACTATTGGTCCCTAAGGAAGACATTGAAAGGAGAACATTAGCCTGGATGTCCAATAGTCTGCTATCAGTTCTTGAGCTGGAGGTGTGTAGTTGTGTGTGAGAGGGTATGAATTGACTTTGCATCTGCGTTGTGGTTGCAATGCTGACTCCACTATATGGCTGGCAAGAAGGGCAGAGGTCTCTGCCAGGCTTTGGTATCAGGATGATGCTGGCCTCATAAAATGAGTTAGGGAGGATTCCCTCTTTTTCTATTGATTGGAATAGTTTCAGAAGGAATGGTACCAGCTCCTCTTTGTACCTCCGGTAGAATTCGGCTGTGAATCCATCTGGTCCTGGACTTTTTTTTGTTGGTAAGCTATTAATTATTGCTTCAATTTCAGAGCCAGTTATTGGTCTATTCAGAGATTCAACTTCTTCCTGGTTTAGTCTTGGGAGAGTGTATGTGTCGAGGAATTTATCCATTTCTTCTAGATTTTCTAGTTTGTTTACATAGAGGTGTTTATAGTATTCTCTGATGGTAGTTTGTATTTCTGTGGGATCGGTGGTTATATCCCCTTTATCATTTTTTACTGTGTCTATTTGATTCTTCTCTCTTTTCTTCTTTTTAGTCTTGCTAGCGGTCTATCAATTTTGTTGATCTTTTCTAAAAAAACAGGTCCTGGATTCATTGATTTTTGAAGGGTTTTTTGTATCTCTATCTCCTTCAGTTCTGCTCTGGTCTTAGTTATTTCTTGCCTTCTGCTAGCTTTCGAATGTGTTCACTCTTGCTTCTCTAGTTCTTTTAATTATGATGTTATGGTGTCAATTTTAGATCTTTCCTGCTTTCTCTTGTGGGCATTTAGTGCTATAAATTTCCCTCTACACACTGCTTTAAATGTGCCCCAGAGATTCCGGTATGTTGTGTCTTTGTTCTCATTGGTTTCAAAGAACATATTTATTTCTGCCTTCATTTTGTTATGTACCCAGTAGTCATTCAGGAGCAGGTTGTTCAGTTTCCATGTAGTTGAGCAGTTTTGAGTGAGTTTCTTAATCCTGAATTCTAGTATGATTGCACTGTGGTCTGAGAGACAGTTTGTTATAATTTCTGTTCTTTTACATTTGCTGAGGAGTGCTTTACTTCCAACTATGTGGTCAATTTTGGAGTAGGCGTGGTGTGGTTCTGAAAAGAATGTATATTCTGTTGATTTGAGGTGGAGAGTTCTGTAAACGTTTATTAGGTCCGCTTGGTGCAGAGCCGAGTTCAATTCCTGGATATCTTTGCTAATTTTCTGTCTTGTTGATCTGTCTAACATTGACAGTGGGGTGTTGAAGTCTCCCATTATTATTGTATGGGAGTCTAAGTCTCTTTGTAGGTCACTAAAGACTTGCTTTATGAATCTGGGTGCTCCTGTATTGGGTGCATATATATTTAGGATAGTTAGCTCTTCTTGTTGAATTGATCCTGGCAGAGACACAACAAAAAAAGAGAATTGTAAACCAATATCCCTGATGAACATCGATGCAAAAATCCTCAATAAAATCCTGGCAAACTGAATCCAGCAGCACATCAAAAAGCTAATCCACCATGATCAAGTGGGCTTCATCCCTGGGATGCAAGGCTGGTTCAACATATGCAAATCAACAGACGTAATCCACTACATAAACAGAACCAATGGCAAAAACCACATGATGATCTCAATAGATGCAGAAAAGGCCTTTGACAAAATTCAACAGCCCTTCATGCTAAAAACTCTCAATAAATTAGGTATTGATGGGACGTATCTCAAAATAATAAGAGCTATCTATGACAAACCCACAGCCAATATCATACTGAATGGGCAAAAACTGGAAGCATTCCCCTTGAAAATTGGCACAAGACAGGGATGCCCTCTCTCACCACTCCTATTCAACATAGTGCTGGAAGTTCTGGCCAGGGCAATCAGGCAGGAGAAGGAAATAAAGGACATTCAATTAGGAAAAGAGGAAGTCAAATTGTCCCTGTTTGCAGATGACATGATTGTATATCTAGAAAACCCCATTGTCTCAGCCCAAAATCTCCTTAAGCTGATAGGCAACTTCAGCAAAGTCTCAGGATACAAAATCAATGTACAAAATTCACAAGCATTCTTATACACCAATAACAGACAAACAGAGAGCCAAATCATGAGTGAACTCCCATTCACAATTGCTTCAAAGAGAATAAAATACTTAGGAATCCAACTTAAAAGGGAAGTGAAGGACCTCTTCAAAGAGAACAAGAAACCACTGCTCAATGAAATGAAAGAGGATACAAACAAAGGGAAGCACATTCCATGCTCATGGGTAGGAAGAATCAATATCCTCAAAATGGCCATACTGCACAAGGTAATTTATAGATTCAGTGCCATCCCCATCAAGCTATCAATGACTTTCTTCACAGAATTGGAAAAAACTACTTTAAAGTTCATATGGAACCAAAAAAGAGCCCACATTGCCAAGTCAATCCTAAGCCAAAAGAACAAAGCTGGAGGCATCACACTACCTGACTTCACAATATACTACAAGGCTACAGTAACCAAAAGAGCATGGTACTGGTACCAAAACAGAGATATAGACCAATGGAACAGAACAGAGCCCTCAGAAATAATGCTGCATATCTACAACTATCTGATCTTTGACAAACCTGACAAAAACAAGCAATGGGGAAAGGATCCCCTATTTAATAAATGGTGCTTGGAAAACTGGCTAGCCATATGCAGAAAGCTGAAATTGCATCCCTTCCTTACACCTTATACAAAACCTAATTCAAGATGGATTAAAGATTAAATGTTAGACCTAAAACCATAAAAACCCTAGAAGAAAACCTAGGCAATACCACTCAGGACATAGGCATGGGCAAGGACTTCATGTCTAAAACCCCAAAAGCAATGGCAACAAAAGCCAAAATTGACAAATGGGATCTAATTAAACTAAAGAGCTTCTGCACAGCAAAAGAAACTACCATCAGAGTGAACAGGCAACCTACAGAATGGGAGAAAAGTTTTGCAATCTACTCATCTGACAAAGGGCTAATATCCAGAATCTACAATGAACTCAAACAAATTTACAAGAAAAAAACAAACAACCCCATCAAAAAGTGGGCGAAGGATATGAACAGACACTTCTCAAAAGAAGACATTTATGTAGCAGAAAGACACATAAAAAAATGCTCATCATCACTGGCCATCAGAGAAATGCAAATCAAAACCACAGTGAGATACCATCTCACACCAGTTAGAATGGCAATCATTAAAAAGTCAGGAAACAACAAGTGCTGGAGAGGATGTGGAGAAATAGGAACACTTTTACACTGTTGGTGGGATAGTAAACTAGTTCAACCATTGTGGAAGTTAGTGTGGCCATTCCTGAGGGATATAGAACTAGAATTACCGTTTGACCCAGCCATCCCATTACTGGGTATGTACCCAAAGGATTATAAATCATGCTGCTATAAAGACACATGCACACGTATGTTTATTGCGGCACTATTCACAATAGCAAAGACTTGGAACCAACACACATGTCCAAAAATGATAGACTGGATTAAGAAAATGTGGCACATATACACCATGGAATCCTACGCAGCCATAAAAAATGATGAGTTCATGTCCTTTGTAGGGACATGGATGAAGCTGGAAACCATCATTCTCAGAAAACGATCACAAGGACAAAAAACCAAACACCACATGTTCTCACTCACAGGTGGGAATTGAACATTGAGAACACATGGACACAGGAAGGGGAACATCACACACTTGGGCCTGTTGTGGGGTGGGGGGAGGGATAGCAGTTCACAATTGGCTCTCTATTATTGGTGTATAGGAATGCTTGTGATTTTTGCACGTTGAATTTGTATCCTGAGACTTTGCTGAAGTTGCTTATCAGCTTAAGGAGATTTTGGGCTGAGACGATGGGGTTTTCTAAATATACAATCATGTCATCTGCGAGCAGAGACAATTTGACTTCCTCTCTTCTTATTTGAATACCCTTTATTTCTTTCTCTTACCTGAATGCTCTGGCCAGAGCTTCCAATACTATGTTGAATAGGAGTGGTGAGAGAGGACATCGTTGTCTTGTGCTGGTTTTCAAAGGGACTGCTTCCAGATTTTGCCTATTCAGTATGATACTGGCTGCGGGTTTGTCATAAATAGCTCTTATTATTAGGAGATATACCTAATGCTAAATGACGAGTTAATGGGTGCAGCAGACCAACATGGCACATGTATACATATGTAACAAACCTGCACATTGTACGCATGTACCCTAGAACTTAAAGTATAATAATAAAAAAAAAAGAAGGGCAGAGGTTATAGAAGGCCTTCTTGGTGTCTTTACCCTCTGCTATGGACACCCAGTGGAGTTACCCCAACCCCACCACAGACTCTACATTTGTTCAGGTTATCCTCTGTAAGTGGTCATACCTGTTTCCTCAAAGACTTTATTGGTTTACAAATCCAATAGACAGATACTTCCATTGATGCTTGCTTTTGCCTCTGATCATGCTGTACTATCCTGGGAAGATATTCATCTGATCTGGCTAAGTGATGTACATTTTTGCACAAATAGAGCGTTCTTTTTGCTTTCTTCATGAATCCCTTCCATTTTACTTCATATGGTGCCAGAATCATGATGCCATCAATATTAAAATATATTATAAAATATATTATATAATCCCTATATAATGCAGTGGTTACAGTATGCATATTTCAAGCTATGTGTGAAAATGCTTTGTGATGTGCTGTTTTATATCAAAGAATGGAACCTGTGTTTTGATTCACCAGCTTCAAAATACTCTTTTTGTAGAATCTGCGAAGTGACATTTCTGAGCCTATTGAGGCCTATAAGGAAAAATTGAATATCCAGCAGGATAAACTAGAAACAAGCTAAGGGAATAAATAGTTGGAGGATATGCTGTTCTACATTTATGCTAGAAATATTCCAGTAGTAAATATAATATAACCAGAAAATAAATAATCATCCACTTTTTCCAGCACACTCTAGATAAGACTTAAATTTGTGCTATTCATCAATAAAGACAAGTAACAAGCCTTTTTTTTATTGACAAGTTGATATACATCCATGAGCACATGGATATGGAAAGACACCCTGGAAAAAAAATTTTTGTACTGGGCCCTCACAACCTAGGATCAGTCCTGACACACACACACACACACACACACACACACACACACATACAGAGACAGAGAGAGAGAGAATAGAGTGCAATTGATGAAATTAGTTTATTTTATAATTATTATTAATGAATAAAATATTTTGTGCTGGGATAAAAATTGATATGGTGAGGCTGTTGTGAATTTTAGATACCCTTTAAGATACATTATCTGATAGCTCTATTTCTTTCCTTATTCCCCTGAAGCCTAATTTTATTGATTATTCTGAGTTATTGAAAGACCAAGTTGTATAGTAAGAATTGATTTGTGTATAGTGATAAAACTCTTATTACTTGAGTTTATGTGAGAGTATCTCTCTTTTTTATTATTATGCTATAAGTTCTGGGATACATGTGCAGAATGTGCAGGTTTGTTACATAGGTATACACGTGCCATGGTGGTTTGCTGCACCCATCATCCTGTCATCTACATTAAGTATTTCTGCTAATTTGTACATTATTTCTCCCCTATCTCCCAAACCCCTGACAGGCCCCAGTGTGTGATGTTCCCCTCCCTGTGTCCATGTTCTCATTGATCAACTCCCACTTATGAGTGAGAACATGTGGTGTTTGTGTTTCTGTTCTTCTTAGTTTGCTGAGAATAATGTTTTCCAGTTTCATCCATGTCCCTGCAAAGGACATGAACTCATCCTTTTATATGGCTGTATAGTATTCCATGGTGTATATGTGCCACATTTCCTTTTTCCAGTCTATCATTGATGGACATTTGGCTTGGTTCCAAGTCTTTGCTATTGTGAATAGTGCTGCAATAAACATATATGTGCATATGTCTTTGTAGTAGAATGATTTATAATCTTTTGAGTATATACCCAGTAATGGGATTGCTAGGTCAAATGGTATTTCTGCTTCTAGATCCTTGAGGAATCACCACACTGTCTCCCACAATGGTTGAATTAATTTACACTCTCACCAACAGTGTAAAAGTGTTCCTATTTCTCCACATCCTCTCCAGCATTTGTTGTTTCCTGACTTTTTTATGGTTGCCATACTAATTGGCGTGAGATGGTATCTCTTTGTGGTTTTGATTTCTGTTTCTCTAAAGACCAGTGATGATGAGCTTTTTTTCATATGTTTGTTGGCCTTATAAATGTCTTCATTTGAGAAGTGTCTGTTCATAGCCTTTATCCACTTTTTAATGGGGTTGTTTGTTCTTTTTCTTGTAAATTTGTTTAAGTTCCTTGTAAATTCTGGATATTAGCTGTTAGTCAGTTGGATAGACAGCAAAAATTTTCTCTCTTGCGATAGTTTACTGAGAATGATGATTTCCAATTTCATCCATGTCCTTACAAAGGACATGAACTCATCATTTTTTATGGCTGCATAGTAAAACCAAACACCGCATATTCTGGCTCATAGGTGGGAATTGAACAGTGAGAACACATGGACACAGGAAGGGGAACATCACACTCTGGGGACTGCTGTGGGGTGGGGGGAGGGGAGAGGAATAGCATTGGGAGATATACCTAATGTTAGATAACGAGTTAGTGGGTGCAGTGCACCAGCATGGCACATGTATACATATGTAACTAACCTGCATATTGTGCACATGTACCCTAAAACTTAAAGTGTAATAATAAATAAATAAATAAATAAAAAGAAAAAAAAATTTTCTCTCATTCTGTAGGTTGCCAGTTCATTCTGATGACAGTTTCTTTTGCCATGCAGAAGCTCTTTATTTTAATTAGATCTGATTTGTCAATTTTGGGTTTTGTTGCCATTGGTTTTGGTGTTTTAGTTATGAAGTCTTTGCCCTTGCCTATGTCCTGAATGGTATTGCCTAATTTTCTCCTATGGTTTTTATGGTTTTATATCTTACACTTAAGTCTTTAATCCATCTTGAGTTAATTTTTTATAAGGTGTAAGGAAGGGGTCCAGTTTTAGTTTTCTGCATATGGCTAACCAGTTTTTCCAACACTATTTATTAAATAGGAAATTCTTTCCCCATTGCTTTGACAGATTTATCAAAGAACAGATGGTTGTAGATAAGTGGCATTATTTCTAAGGCCTTCATTCTGTTCCATTGGTCTATATATCTGCTTTGTTACCAGTACCATGCTGTTTTTGTTACTGTAGCCTTGTAGTATAGTTTGAAGGCAGGTAGCATGATGCCTCTAGATTTTTTCTTTTTGCTTAGGATTGTCTTGGCTATATGGGCTCTTTTTTGGATTTTTAAAAATTCTATATGAAATTTAGGTTTTTTTAATTCTGTGAAGAAAGTCAATGGTAGCTTGATGGGGATAGGATTGATTCTACAAATTACTTTCGGCAGTATGGCCATTTTTATGATATTGATTCTTTCTATCCATGAGCATGGAATGTTTTTCCATTTGTTTGTGTCCTCTCTTATTTCCTCAAGCATTGGTTTGTAGTTCTCCTTAAGGGGTCCTTCACATCTATTGTAAGATGTATTCCTAGGTATTTTATTCTCTTTGTCACAATTGTGAATGGCAGTTCACAATTGGCTCTCTGTCTATTATTGGTGTATAGGAATGCTTGGGATTTTTGCACATTGAATTTGTATCCTGAGACTTTGCTGAAGTTGCTTATCAGCTTAAGGAGATTTTGGGCTGAGATGATGGGGTTTTCTAAAATATACAATCATGTCATCTGCAAGCAGAGACAATTTGACTTCCTCTCTTCTTATCTGAATACCCTTTATTTCTTTCTCTTACCTGAATGCTCTGGCCAGAGCTTCCAATACTATGTTGAATAGGAGTGGTGAGAGAGGTCATCGTTGTCTTGTGCTGGTTTTCAAAGGGACTGCTTCCAGCTTTTGCCTATTCAGTACGATACTGGCTGCAGGTTTGTCATAAATAGCTCTTATTATTTTGACATATGTTCCATCAATACCTAGTTTATTGAGAGTTTTTAGCATAAAGGGATGTTAAATTTTATCGAAGGCCTTTTCTGCATCTATTGAGATAATCATGAATATCTCTCTTTTTTGAATAAATAAAGACAAAAGTATTGGTGACTTATAAATCACAAGGGATCACCTAATTGACATATGTGATTTATGGTATTTAACTTCATGATGTAGTGGTTACTTCTTCAACTGCCTCCATCACAGAAATAGAAGCATTGCAATTTGTGCTTGATATGTTTCCAAATGACTAAGATGAGTATGTTTGATCAACTACTATTTTTGAGGTGATATTTTCTTTAAAAATATGCTCATTCCTAACCTGGAAAATAGGTACCTTTTTTAGAAAAGTGTCGATATTTTGGCTGCATTTCAAAACTGGGCAGGAGATTACCAGTGTTCAATCTACCAGTCATCTTTCTTCAAACTCCCACTGAGCTAAATGGGAGTTTTGTACTTTAGCAAACAGTAAATTAGGTTTCCAGTGACGTGAAGAGAGGAGGACAGACAGTTCCAGATGGCAAGTGCCACCGAAGCTAAGGGTCAATGTTTACAGAGAAGGGAGTGGGTGCAGTATACAATCTCAATTATTAAAAGTCAGTAGACAGGAAAACAACCAAAATGGTAACAGATGAGTGAAATGACTCTGTTGGAATGAGCAAGTACTGTAAGCCTTTGCAAAGCTCCCAAGGGCAAATGCATTATTAGTAGATTTGTATTTATTAGGAGCATGCCATGGGATTAAGCTGCTGTGAGCTAATTCTTACTCTTATTTAAAACTTTTCTTTTTTAAAAAAATCGAAATAGCAAACCTTGGTAGTTAACACATCTTTCATTACTTGGAAATAGTAATTCTACAGAAACATACTTGTTTTTGGCTTGCCTGAATGTAGTTACTTACCTTTATATTTTTCCTAATTATACTGTACCATATTAATATTGTTGGAACTGGAATAATACTATTTGTTTCTTTCCAGAGGAGATGAAAGTATCATACAATGTTTGCAGCATTAAGATTTTCTTCCGCTTTAACTAGTTATAGTGCAATAGATATCAGTTTTGTTTCCAGCATTATATTGTTAATGCCTCATGCAGGATTCATGCATGATTATCTCAATTTCGTGTTTTTAATTTAACACAAACATTAGCAAGAAGAACCAATTCACCAAACCTAATGACTGGTCATAATGCCATACAATAAAGTGTTACTTTCTACAACATTTTTTTTATGCAAAATTCATCTCAAAACACATTTTAAAGTTAAATGAAATCATTATAGATTTAATATTATCTCATTTCATCAGCTAATAAATAAGAGCAAAGAGAGAAATTAACTTATCTACAAATCAGAAAAAAGAAAGGTTTAGGAGACATGTATTTCAACTGGGTGATAGGAGATTCCAGAGGAAGGATAAAGAATAAAATTACTGGGAACTCTAGGAGCCATGGCTGCAAGCTTTATGGGACAGAGGTTTTAGTTTGTATTTGCTTCTTGTGTTGAAATTGCTTTTTGAACTTAAGCAAAATAGTTAATTATCTATAACTTAGATTTGCCTTGTTGATAAACTAAAATGGAGTACAGCTTTAGAATGGAGAGCTGCTCCCATTAAAAGTAAGTTCAAAAATATTATGTTTTTGGGAAGTCCATTTGTCACCCTTTTCTGGGCAGTAAGGCTCTAATACAAATTGTTGTTATAAAACATAAAATTAATGTCCTAAATGGAGTATTCTCTTATCTGCAAAACTATACAACACAAAACCTATGCTCTATGCCTTATTGATATATTCTTGCATGCTGAATTCTACCTTTAAAAAATTCACCAAACATTAAACACTGGAGCAATTTACACCTTCTCATTGTATTAGTATTAGAAAATTGAAGTAAAGTTCAGAAATTCAAAATGTTACTCTATTGCTCATTAAATTATTTAAATAAATTAACATGTGTATCCTAGCCAAGGTACCTCTTAAGAATGACAATTAATCTTAAGAGTGATTGACAATTAACTTTATATTTTTAAAATGTGGTTATGTGTTAGAATAATCAAAAGACATTGCTTATAATTTTCAAACTGTCAGAATGGATGAATTACCACTGTATGGTGGAAACATAAATCAAACTTAAAGATTTCTTCTGTTCTAACCAATTTTCATCACCATCATCTTCTGTGAGGTCACCTATCTCTAATTATAATTAAACTCTAATTTCTCACCTGTGAAATTAAATGATTAGTCTGAATATGAGACATAGATTCAAATATCCACAGAGAAGTGATAGGTAATTTAAGTTAATTAAATTTATCAGGTGACAATTTCAGCAAACTAAAGAGTAACTACTCCTTCCAAACTGGTCTTCTGAAATTGTTACCATGCAGGAATTTGGAGTAATACAGCAAATTTCTTTATTTGCATGCATATCAAACTGTTTTATTTCAAATGTCTGAATGCTAATTTTTAAGTGCTAGTCCAGATATTTTTAAGCAGCCAATACAAAATACTTATATGGTGCAAACAAACTGAAAACCACCAGTTTCTAAATATTACAATTGATCGATTTTTAGATTACTCCAAACAATCCACTTTTGAAATATTTTTCTAAAGCTAAAATCATACAAGTACATAGATATTTTCATGTCAGATGAGGAAATGTGGAGTGTAGTAATCCTTATATAGAGGTAAATGAATAGGCAAGGTTTATTTTGTTTGTTTGTTTTATTTTTTGTCTTTTAGACTTTAGTCTCGTTCCTTCACCAGGCTGGATTGCAGTGGTACAATCTCGGCTCACTGCAACCTCTGTAAAAGGCAAGTTTTGTACAAAAAATTATTCTGTTTTTTGAAAAAATAATATTTCCTCTGTCATTTTTTCCATTTTTTACCTTTTTAACATGCCTTCCTTGATGAGATGTAAAATGTCTACTATGGTGTTAATGTGTATCTCAATAATCACCATTTTAAAATTTAACAGATATTAATAATTAATTTTTTATGATTCCTACCTTAACCTTACAACCTGAGGAGGAAATGGTATCCTAGATGGAACAGAAATGTTGAAATGGAGGAGTATCTCACCTGAGAAACGCCATCTCCACCTCAAGTATGGCAGTACCTTGGTGTTGTCCTCAAACTCCAGGGTCTGTTGTTTACCATTGCAAGACTGGAAAATCAGTTGTTATTTCAGTAATAGAAAATAGCTTCCCAAATCCTCTCGTGGAAACTACACTCAATAAGAAACACATTTACTTAAAACATAAATGTCACATTTATTTTTAAAAAAAGAAATGTAATAAGCAAACAAGATATTTGTGCTCACTCAGTATTTCCTGTCACTATATTCCAACCTAATTGAATTGCCAATTATCATCTGAATTTTTCTCAGTGATTATCAAAATAGCTAATTCAAAGTAGGTTGATGACTTGTGTTATAAGTCTGACATGTACTGATATGTTAATCTTCACTATACGGATCTTTCTAACACAATTACCAAACACATAGGCCGTGACAGGCTCCCAACTAAATCACTCTAGACATATGCTATCATCATGTGCTTGTATCTGTTTGCCTTGGATATTTAAACTCTCTTTAAAAGTTGTAAGACCACATATGCAAATAGTTGAATTAATCTAACCTCAGGTTATTCACTCTCATTTGTCCCTGCAAAAGCCCTTGATATTCATTTTCAATCCTAGACCCAATTCCCATCCCCTTCCATACATAGACACCTACTTTGCTCTACTTAAAATAAGACATACCTTTATATATATAATAAATATCATCTGAAGGTATAGTATTGAATTATATTTTATTTTCAAAACCAGTATTTTTATGAATCATATTTTAACATAAAATTAAATTTTACCCTTTTTATTTTTCTGTACACAACCAGTTATTTGTGTTTGCCTGCATCACAGCATTCCATTTTACATACCCAGCACACTTTACTTTTATTCATACTCCCACTGATAGACCTTATATCTAAATTTCTGCCACCCCTCTTATTGGTATCATGAATATATTAATATCTGTTCCTAAAATGATCTGTTACTAAATTTAAGCATATAAATACAATTTTGAGATAGTAAGTACGTAGAGAATTTACATTAATGTCAAAGTCATCTGCTCATAACAGGAAAGGGAAAGTGTTGTCAAATATCCATATCATTGTGATTATTTGGTATTACCAAAATTTTACTTCTTTTAATCCTAACAGGCTAAGGTGCTATGTTAGTGTTGCTCATATTTGTGTTGCTTATTACTCTAAGAATATTGTCAGACATCTTTTATACCTGTTTACCTTTTACATACTGGCCATTTACATCCTTTGAACATTTTTCTAATATATTTACTATTTTTCTTAGTTTTTTTCAGGATTAAAATATATTATGTTAATGTATAATTAGTTTTAGAAATTGCAAATATTCTCTTTCAGACTTGTATAGAATTGTGTTTTCTTTTCATGTCAAAGTAGTTGACATTTTTCCCTACAGGTTTTAGTTTGTTCATCATTAATAAATTTATTGACTTTATATTTTTAAACAGGCCCAAATTTAGGCATTTAGGGTACAGAAATTAAAAATAATAAAAACTAATTAACTAACAAACTAAATAAATACTAGAAAATCACTTTTCTCAATGGAGCTTACCTATTTTTGAGGATATGGACAATCATCAAACACATTAACTTAAAGTATGTAAGGTGATTATAAGTGCAATGAGAACAAAATATTCACAGGAAACATATACAGCATGATAGTGATGTGTGATAATTTATAAAGGAAGGTGAAAAAAGTTATATTTGAACAGAAAGCTAAAAGAGTAGAGAATAACCTCCATGTGGTTATTTAGGAAAAAATAATTTCAGGCGAAAGGAAAAGAAGAAACAAAACTCACAGTTTTGAATTTTTTTTTACAAATACATTATTTGAGTAAATCATTGTAATAGAGGATCCAGAGTTCTTGGATATTTCTACTTTAACAGCACCTTGTGTTTATTCCTAAAACTTTAAATCACGTATCTTAATAGCTAGTATTATACATTCTCCATTTCGTCCTTTATTTTTAAAAAGTCTCAATATCAGCTATTCATTTCCATATAAGTTTATCACATTTTACTTTAGATTTCAAATTTCTAAATACTAAATAAATATTTTAATTTATGAGATGGAACTTGTTATAATATGATGTTGCAACATTTCCCTGGTACCAAAATTGGAAAAAAAAGTTATTAAAAAAATAAAACTACAGATCAATGTTCCTTATGAATGTATATGCAAAAATCCTCAACAAAATATTTGCAAATCAATCCAATAATTTAAGAAAAGGACAAGACATTACAACCAAGTGTGTTTTATTTTAAAAATGCAAGGTTGATTTAACATTTGAAAACCAATCAGTGCAATTCATTATATGTCTTAGTCCATTTGCATTGCTTAAACAAAATACCTAAGACCGATCAGCTTACTAACAAAGTAAATTTATTTCTCACAGCTCTGGTGGCTGAGAAGTATATGATCAAACATCAGCATATTCGGTGTCTGGTGAAGGCTTATTTTCTCATAGATGACACCTTTGCACTGTTACTCACATGTTGCAAAGGATAAATGGGCTCCTTTCAGCGTATTTTATTAGGGCACTAATACTATGCATGAGGGCTCCGTGCTCCTGACCTAATAACCTCTCATAAAGTCCCATTTCCCAATACCATGACATTAAGGCTTAGGTCCTAACGTATGAAACTTAGGAGACACAAACATTCAGACTACACCACCAAGTCAACACACTAAGGAAGAATAACCATATAATCATCTCCACAGATACAAAAGTGCATTGCGGAAAGTAAATTTAGCAAATTTTTACATCGTCATATAAACACACGCACACACAGAGACAGGCTGACTCTCAGCAAACTGAGAAGAAAGTAGTACTTCCTCTACTTGACAAAGGTTGAGAAACTCACATTAAGCTTATGTCTAAAATATTTAATGTAGAAAGACTAAAAGGTTTTCTCTTATACAGGGAACAAAGACATATCTATTTACTATTGTACTGAAGGCCCTAGTCAGTGCAATAGGATAAGAAAAATCAATAAATGTCATACAGATTTTTTAAAAATAATAAAGCTGTCTCTATTTGCATATTATTTGTCTATCTAAAATAAATATCAAAAATGACAAAAATGTTATCAAGACTAATAATAAGTTTAGCAGTTTGCAGGATACAAAGTAAATATATAAAATTATATTTACAAAATTGAATTTGTTTTTGTAATTATATGGGGATATATATTTTATATATTATGTTTGTAACATATGTATGAAAATATGTAACAGTAATATTAAAATATTTATAGGCAAGAAAGATATAGTCAAAAGTACTAAACATAGATGAAATAAATCAAAATAAACTTAGAGAAATATACTATTTTCATAGTTTTAAACACTCAATATTTAAAAAAATCAATTTGCTCTGATTTGCCTATATATTCCACACAACTCCAATCACATTTCTAGCAGGAATTTCTAGAAATTAGCAAACAGATTCTAAAACTTATATTCAAAAGTAAAGCAACAAAAAACAGTAAAACAATTTTCAAAAAAATAAAGAAAAAAGCTGGAAGGCACTTTTCTTTATTTAAGAGTGAACTCTAAACTTGCAGTAATCAAACACTGTGGTACCAGCAAAAGACTAGACATAGAACAAATGAACAGAAAAGAGTCTAGAAATAAAAGTACACATATTTGGCCAATTGATTTTCAACAAAGATACCTAGGCAAATCCATTAATAAATAAATTCTTCTAAATAAATAATGATAGGATATTTGGATATCCACATTAAAAAAAAAGCTTGACTTTTTTGTATTATTTAGTTTATAATTTATTACATGATATATGTAAATTAATTCTAAATAGATCATAAATCTAAAACTAAAGGAGAGACAAGAGGAGGAGGTAGAAGAGGAAGAGGAGGAGCAGAAAATATAGGAGAAATATTTAGCAATGTGACTTTGGAATAGACAAAGCATAGCTTAGATATGACACCAAATGCATACTCCATGGAAGAAAATTTGATAAACTGAACTTAATAAACCATTTGGTCTTAAAATGACATTCTTAAGAAATTGAAAAGACATCATATATTGAGGATATATTTATAATATATATATCTGATAAACCATTTATCTTTTGAATATATGAAAACTTCTTAAACCTTCAATTTTGAGAAATAACATAATTTTTACAAATCAACAAAACATTTAAATAGACAAATCACCAAGAATTATATCGGTGGCAAATAAACACATATGAGGGAACTAAACATCACTGGTCACTGGAGAAATGCAAATTAAAACTACAATGTGATATCACTACACACCTATTATAGTGCCTTGAATACAAAATAATAGTAGTAATGGCAGTAGTAGTAGTAGTAAAATACTAAGTACTAGTACAGATGCTTAGAAATTGAACTACCTTGCATCGCTGGTGGACATGCAAAATGGTGCCGGCACTTAGGCAAATAGTCTAGCAGTTTCTAGGAGACATAATCATAAACTTACCATGCTACCCAGTAATTCCACATCTATATATTTGCCCAAAAGAAATAAAAATTTATGTTAACACAAAAACCTGTACACTAGTATTTATAGAGGACTTGTTATGTAATATCAAAACTAGAAATGATTTTATTTTATCCTATTGCAATAATATAATCACCCAAATTTGGGAGCTGATATGATGCTACCCTTCCATCTTCACCTGACATTGATATGACTTTTCTAATTTGCTAGTATTTGATAAATGTGAGATAAATAGTGGATCAAGGAAATGAAGATAAAAGAAAATAACTCCAACTAGAAAATTACCTTAGAGCATAGGTATTAGTTTAGGACTTCTGCTTTTTTTCTTTTTATTTCTAGGCTGACATTCACCTGGCCTCAGTCTCACACACATGCACACGCACGCACACGCACACACACACATTCTTCACCTCTCTTCTCACTATTTACTGTAATAGCTACTGAATCTTATCTAGGTTTGACTTTTGCACTTAAATGTCTGAGAATATGTTTTTAATACCTTAAAAATGACAATTGACCAGTAGATTGTAAATGTGGAGTAGTCTGCAAACCTGGAAACATATTTGCATAGAACGACTAAAGTTTTAGCCCTGAATTTATCCATATAACTCCATCATGTAGGGATATTAATATAAATAAGTAAGAAGATGCATTTAAGGTCACATTATCAACTATCAAATTATTAGTGATACTATGAACTGGGACTTTTTAAACATTACATATATAATGAATACATTTGAATTTGCTTTTCAACATAAATACTACAAGAAAATAATTTTATGAATGCCTTAATCTAGAAAGTGTATTTTATGTGACAGATTTATGACAGCCAAAATAGGGACTGAAGCAATGAAGCAATATGTGCTTCACATGTATGTAGTATGTCACCTTTCTTCTTTAAAGGAGATGTAAAGACTATTCTAAGAACTGGTATGCAAATATCTTCTATACTATCCTCGGTTGCCACAAATTCATGCAAGAAGTGCACAAAGACATACAACACAATCAAACAATTTAGAATTCTAACTTTTATTTCTAAAGTCTTAGGTGGATTTTCTGCCTTAGATGAACCTTAGAGCTTAAAGATCCCTTCTATCATACAGCAGAGCCTAATAAACCCTTTGACTGCTCCTCTTAGAGCACACTGTTTAATATTTTGACTCTATATCTTAATACTCCACTAAGATAGAAGCAAAGAAAGGGAGTTACAAGGCAAAACCTTCCAAAAAAAATCATTTTCTCTAAATCCCAGAAAAAACCTCCTTGATATCTCTGCAGCCAGGGCGTCCTAAGGCAATGATTTAGGTGGTAGCTACGGGGCAATTTTACAACTAAGGCATTATTGAAGGAATCAATTCCAATATTTTACATAGACTCAATCATTGGAAAATCCTCTTTCTACAAATCAGAAGCTATGTCCTTCGTTTAATAATATATTTGACTCTGATCAAATTACTTTCAGTTCTTCTTCTTAGTGATACAATTATTTGGGGCAATGTGTAACTGAAAAAAGATGCAAAGCACTTGGTTTCTAAACGTCTGCTAATGGACAAAGATTATATTATGAGGTGCAAAATTAAATTCACTCTGCATATGGACAAAGTTCAGTATATTCACTGAGGGAATTTATTGACTACCTTAGTTGTTTTTGTTTGTTTGTTTTTGTTTTTTGTTTTTTGAGACAGAGTCTTGCTCTGTCGCCCAGGCTGGAGTGCAGTGGCGCGATCTCGGTTCACTGCAAGCTCCGCCTCCCGGGTTCACGCCATTCTCGTGCCTCAGCCTCTGGAGTAGCTGGGACAACAGGCGCCCGCCACCACGCCCGGCTAATTTTTTGTAGTTTTTTTAGTACAGACGGGGTTTCACCGCGTTGGCCAGGATGGTCTCGATCTCCTGACCTCGTGATCCGCCCGCCTGGGCCTCCCAAAATGCTGGGATTACAGGCGTGAGCCACCACGCCCGGCCTACTACCTTAGTTTTATCAACTAGTACTACATGACAGAAATTGCACCTTGGAGTGTCTTAATTCTCACTATCCTAAAAGATCTTATTTTAGTAATAGCCACAAGTAAAGACTTTACAATTATGAATTCCTAATTATTTGAAAA
The DNA here is from genome assembly GCF_000001405.40 of Homo sapiens. NCBI lineage: Eukaryota > Metazoa > Chordata > Mammalia > Primates > Hominidae > Homo > Homo sapiens. Next base: position 200,628 of record NW_021159995.1, read on the forward strand.
AGCATTTAGCAAGTATTTTTTAAATATAATCTTATGCTTAAATTAAATTGACACCATAAATATTTAGGGATATATCAAGAGTAGATTTTTATATGTCAAAGGTAGATATTGTTTTCTATTCAGACGGCCCCATTTTCTTTCTTCTGTTGTCCTACTTATTTGGCAAGGATGCCACTTTTAATTGGACTAATGGCTCAAAGCCACAAATTTAAATTATTTGAATTAAATCCTGTGCTTGCACTTGTTCTTCTGGCAGTTGATTCTTATCACCCCAGGAATGGTCTTGGAAATTTTTATCTATTAGGCTAAATGTTGAGCGTGGAAAAAGTTATAAAAATATCCATAGATTGCTCAAGGAAAAAAGATAGAAATATCGATAGCAGAAGGGCAAAGGAATTATGCTCATGATTCACTAATATAAGGTATATTTTTAGTAGATGAAATGTGATTTAAATATATTTCCTAAACAAATATTAGATCTGTTTTCTCATCATGGTTAGTTAGAAATAAAAGCAAGAAATAAAAGCAACAAAATTATAAAGTGTGGTAGACAGAGGTAACCAATTTTTTTCAGGGTTTTAAAAATATGTGTGTATGTATATGTATATATTGTATATGTATATGTATATATGTATATATACACATATTTTAGAAACTAAAAGTTTCTGTAAAGTTCTTTTCTAAATGGCACTTTATAGTTTCTCAGAAAACCATGTTGAGTGAGAAGCTTTCTCTATATCTCTGTGTCCCTCAATCTTCACTTTGTTGGCTTCCAGGAGCTTCTTTTCATCTTGGCTCTTAAAGTATCTGCTACTGTGATCTCCTCCATTATTTTTCCTCATTAATTTAATTTTACAGAAAATAAAGTGTAGGTTCAGAAATTAAATACTTCAACTAAAAGACGAATTCCATTAAAATTATAGTCCTTGCTCATTTTCAAGTGTTTGTAAAGTCACCTAGTACCATCATACACATTTTTCTTTGGATGTTTTCCCTTCGAGGCTTCATATTATATGTGACCCAGAATAAATGAATTGTTTCCCTTAACAAGTATCTATCAGCATTTTTCTGTGTATATTATAAGGTCTTATAGGTACACTTTAATGTTCTTAGAGGTAAAAAACAAAAATCAACTGTATTTTACTTAAGCAAAAAATACACTTATCTGATGGATTTCTGTGTGCCCATACAATTAGCTGAAGGAATGAACTGTGGTGAAGGAATGAACTGTGGTAAAGAAAGAACTGAGAGAAGATACAATCAGGATTCTCTTCAGTTGTAGATTACATGGGTCTCTCCTACATATTTCATCACTGGAATTTGACACAAATGCACTCATGATTCTGAGATAGTGACTGGGCATAACATCTTATTGTAAAATACTCTTTGAAATTTCATCAATAAATATAATAAAGAAACAGAGAGAACAAATTTGCCAGTATCAGAAATTAGGAATGAGAGAGAGTATATAAGTAAGACCCCTCAGACATTAATACAATAATTATGATAATTATGAAACAATATGAATGAATTTACTTGCATTCATTTGACAACTTAGACGAAATGAACCAATTCTTCAGATAAATACTGCCAAAACTCACTCAGGATGAAAAAGATTATATGAATAGTACTATAACAATTAAGATATTAACTCTGTAATTTAAAACGCTTTCAAAAAACATCTCCAGGTCCACATGGTTTTACTGGAAAATTATACAGATTTTAAAGAACAATAAACACAAATTCTACCAAACTTCTCACAGAAATTAGAAGAGGAGGCAAAACTCTTTGACTTTTATGAGGCCACTATTAATTGTAATACCAAAACCAGTACAAAAAAAATTACACATCAGTATAGTACATGAACATGAATACAAAAATCCTCAACAAAGCAAATAACAAAGTTGTATACACCAAAATATGTGTATGTGCACACATATGAATGTATATACACCACATCCGAACCAAGTGGAGTCTATTCAGAAACAAAAGTCTTATTTAAAATTGAAATGTCCATCAATGTCAGATTGATCATTTGACAAATTCCAAGATATACTCCTATTAAACTCTTAGTAAAGTAGGCATAGAATGTAAATCCTTCAACCTGATAAAGAACACCAAGGAAGAACCTAGATCTAATATTACACTTGACAGTGAAATATTGAATGACACCTCTAGGAGAATAGGGATTTAAGAGTAAAAGGAAAAATAATCTGAAAAGCAGCAACTTTTAATTGACTGCCATAAGAAAAAAGTTCATATGGGAAACCAAGAAATAATATTTTGAGGTATGTTCCTTTAATGCTTAGCTTTTTGAGAGTTTTTATCATAAAGGACATTGGATTTTATCTAAGACTTTTTCCACATCTATTGAGATGATCATATGTTTTTTATTTTTATATCTGTTTATGTGGTGAATTATATTTATTGATTTTTGTATGTTGAACTAAATTTGCAACCCAAGAGTGAAGCCTACTTGATCATGGTGAATTAACTCTTTGATGTGCTGCTGGATTCAGTTTGCTAGTATTTTGTTGAGAATTTTTGCATTTTTGTTCATCAGCGACATTGGCCTGAACATAGTTTTCTTTATTTTGTTGTGTCTTTGCCAGGTTTTGGTGGCAGAGTGATGCAGTGATGCTTGGTTCATAGAATAAGTTAGGGAGGAGTCCCTTCTTGATTTTTTGGAATTGTTTCAGCAGAATTGCTACCAGCTCTTCTTTGTGTGACTGGTAGAATTTAACTGTGAATCCATGTGATCTGGGGCTTTTGTTGGTTGGTGGGTTTTTTATTACTGCTTCAGTTCCAAAACTCAATATTGGTCTGTTCAAGGTTTTAGTTTCTTCCTGACTTAATTTCAGGAGGTTGTATATTTCTGGGAATTTATTCATTTCCTTCAGATTTTCCAGTTTGTGTGCATAGAAGTGGTCATAATTGTCACTGAAGATCTTTTGTATTAAATGTTTCTGTGGGATTGATTGTAATTTCATCTTTTTCATTTCTGTTTGTGCTCATTTTGATTTTCTCTTTTTTTTTGCTTCATTAATCTATCTGCCAATCTATCAATATTTTTTATCCTTTCAGAGAACAAAGTTGATTTTGATGATTCTTTATATGGAATTTTTGGTCTAAATTTTGTTTAATTCTGTTCTGGTTTTATTCATTTTATTTATTCTGTGATATGTCAGGTTAGTTCATTCTTGTTTTTATAGTTCCTCTAGATAATGATGTCAGATTGTTAATTTGAGATCTTTCTAACTTTTTGAAATAGTCATTTAACATGAGAACCTTTCCTCTTAACACTGTTTATGCTGGCTAAATCTGGTTAATTTTGAACATCAAAATAAATGAAAGTAAGACATTGTAACTTATTGGATAAATGAAGAATTCATGAGTCTATTCCATTATAAATATATAAATTAGTAATAAATACCTGAGGTGAATGATAAACTCTGTTTCACTATAAAATGCCAACTAATACATGTAGAATAAATGATGGAAATAAACAATTAGCATTTCACAAACATCATAAGGTGGTTCGGGAAATAGTTTTTAAAAGATGCCAATGCACATATGTGGAGTTTGGATGAAAATCAGAAAGTGGGACTTTAAATGTGATAATTTGATTTTAAAGCCTTAATGCTATATACATATTATAAGGATAAAAACAAAGTATTTATAGTTAAATATATTTTGTTGTAGCTAGAATTGGTAATTTAAGGTTTTGTGTTTGCATTATGGGGTAAAGCAAATATGATATTCTAATTTCATTATTTTTCATGTAGTTGCAAATTGAGATGCTCCGGGAGAGAAAAAAAAATGTGTGATATAAGAGGATAAGCCTTTGTAGTCTTGAATCTTAATAGAAAGTTTAATATAAATATATAATGTGTGCTCTCTTTAAGAATAAAAAAGTTATTTAACTATTTATTCGATCTAGTCCACTGATAAGGGCTAGCACAACCAACTCGGTAGCAATAAACATGTGACCCAGAGTCTGTTTTCTAAATACCATTTTCCTTTAATATTTTGACATATTAAACAGCAAAGAAACAAGGAAGAATGCAAAAATCATGCCAAAAGGACTCAGGAACCAAGTTGCAGATAGTTACACTTTCCAAAGATGGAAAAATCTCGACATTGATAAGTGTAATATTTGCAGTGGATTGACACACATCAAATACGTTTAAAATACGTGAGTCATAGTTACACAGCAAAAAGGGAAATTAATAGAGGAGGTTTGTGAATCAGAACATTATGTTGAATACTGGTAAATAGAGTAAGTATTCTGCCTTTTCTATGTAAGCTATGATATTAGATAACCAATAATAGATGAGGAAATATTTCTCTTTCCAAAAACATTCCAGCTAGTGAAGTGGGAAAGATTGACAGAATTATAGTCAACTTTGAGACACTGGAATAAATTAATGGACCTAAGCATTGATCATCAACGATCACTAACTTCACAAAAAGAGAGGTAACTAGATAGCATGTACTCCAGGATAGAAGTGTACTCTCCACTGCCTATTAAGGATACTTGAAAAAAAAAAAAAAAAGAAAGAAAAAAAAAAAGCAAATCCAAATCTGATCAGCCTCTAGAGCCAATGACCACATTTCAAAAAATACAGAGACAATGCCACAGGGATATAGTTAGCAAAATTCAGTCTGTGAGAAGTACTAGAGGTCAAATGATCCAGTTTCTTCAACAAATGAATTGCAGAAAAAAAAAAACAAATGTAGGCGGCACTTCTGAATTAAAAGAGACATAAGAGTCTTACAAATTGAAATGTGTAGAACATGTTTGAATATTCATTCAAACAAACTGAAGATGAAATTGAACCTGATGTGATAATTGAAATTTAAAACATTGAGTAGATATTTGAATTTATGCCTATTTTTAAGAGTGTTTATCTGATAGTAAAACATACTTAAATACTATGGGCAGAAATGATATGGATAATGGGAATTTTCTTAAAATAATAGGTACGTATTTGAAATAAAACCAGCAGGATTAATAATTACGGAAGCTGTGTGATGAGTATATGGGGTCCACCATGCCATTCTACATACTTTTGAATAGGTTGAAGTTTTTCTATAACAAAAAGTTAAAAATAATCAGAGAAATATCTTGAGTTTCCCACACTAATATAAGATTCATCATTCCATGACTCTTTCATTTTTCTCATAATAATCTTCTTTTCTACTTTTCAGTGTTAAACTGTTATCTAGCACATCTAGTGACATATATATATATATAATATTTCTACCTTTAAAAGTTCTGTTTTGATATATTTTCAAACATATATCTTTTCATTCTTTCATTCCTTTTATTTTATTTTTAACTACAACTTTTTAGAAACCCTCCTCATTAGTTATTATTTTATATTGTATATATTTCAACATCTGAAGTCCCAGGGTACTCAATCTATTATTTGGTATTTTTACTCAGTATTGCTCCTAGTGGATTGTCTCTTCATGTGTTTGATTTTTTTAAAATTAAGAACTTACATTAATTGTGATTAAGCAAAATATCAGTAACACTATCCTCATTTTTTATTGATGCTCTCCTTAAAGGTTGAGGTTTTCTGTGCCACACTTTAACAGATGATATTGGCCCTTCTATTGCTTTCTTTTCATTGTGTGTCTTAGATCTAAATATCTTCTCCATTGCTTTGAAATCTTTATTTTCCAAAGCTTTGGTTCCAGCCATCGGCATTTGTCCCCATTTCATCCAACCTCCTTGATCTCTTCTTGCTCTGGTTTCAGCTTGATCTTACATTATGTTGAGATTTCAGATAAAGTAAAAATGTACTTAGAGGTGTGATGGTTTTAATTCATCAAGAGTAAGTTTGTATTTCTGTAGGGTCAAAGGGCCTTCAAAGCTACACCATCTCACTGCCAGAAGTAAAACAAAGTCTTAATATTTTAATATTTCTTTTTAATTAACAAAGTTCCTATGTTCACTATTAAAACTACAGATTAAAAAAGATACATTTAATTCAACATCGTATACATTATATGTCTGAAAAACATAAATGCATATAAAAAGAAAATTGTTATTAAGTGTAATATTTGCAATGGATTGACACAGATCAAATATGTTTAAAATACATGAGTCATATTTATACAGCAAAAAGGGAGGTTTGTGAATCAGAACATTATGCTGATTACTGGTAAATAGAGTAAGTATTCTGCCTTTTCTATATAAGCTATGATATTAGATAACCGATAGACTATTATGTTTTATTTTAAGAAAAATCTAAAATTATTATGTTTTTAAAATAGAAAATGCATAAATGCCTTTCGTAAGACAATTTTTATTGGAATCTTACCACTTATTCTCTATATTAACAAAATATTTAAAGTATACTTCTTTAAGGCATGATATTTTTTTCAGAATTCTTGACTGTTATGTATTTATTGTTGTTGCTTCAGAAAATGCTTGCTTCCACAGAGACATTGAGGCCAATAGTCAGAATTGCTGAATAATTCAAATTGAAATAGAAAATAAAATTCAATACGATGATATTATGTGATAGATTTTCAATAGGTTACTAGTAAAATCTTGTTTTCTTTTTATCCATTCTTTCCATTGTTGATAAAGTGGCAATTTAAAAAGTGTAAGTATAAAAATTCTAGAAGATAACATTGGAAAAACCCTTCTGGACATTGGCTTAGGCAGGGATTTCATGACCAAAATCCCAAAAGCAAATGAAATAAAAACAAAGATAAATAGGTGGGACCTAGTTAAACTAAAGAGCTTTTGCACAGCAAAAGGAACAGTGAGCAGAGTAAACAGACAACCCACAGAGTGGGAGAAAATCTTTACAATCTATATATCCAACAAAGGACTAAATATCCAGAATCTACAGCAAATTCAAACAAATCAATAAGAGTAAAACAATCCCATCAAAAAGTAGGCTGAGGGCATGAATAGAAAATTTTCAAAAGAAGATATACAAATGGCCAACAAACATATGAAAAAAATGTTCAACATCACTAATGACTGGGGAAATGAAAAGTCAAAACCACAATGTTATACCAAGTCACTCCTGTAAGAACAGCCATAATCAAAAAACCAAAAAACAGTAGATGTTGGTGTGGAGGCAATGAACAGGGAACACTTCTACACTGCTGGTGGAAATGTAAACAAGTACAGCCACTATGGAAAACAGTACAGTGATTCCTTAAAGAATTAAAAGTAGAGCTACCATTTGATCCAGCAATCCCACCACTGGCTATCTACACAGAGAAAAAGAAGTCATTATTCAAAAAAGACACTTGCATACCTCTGTTTATAACAGCACAATTCACAGCTGCAAAATCATGGAACCAACCCAAATGCCCATCAATGAGTGGATAAATAAACTGTGATATATACATATATATGTATCATATATACAATAGAACATATATATAAAAGAACATAGAATATATTACATAGAATATAGATAATATATTCTATATTATATTACATACAATATACATAATATATTCTATATTATATTACATACAATATACATAATATATTCTATATTATATTACATAGAATATACATAATATATTCTATATTATATTACATAGAATATACATAATATATTCTATATTATATAGAATATACATAATATATTCTATATTATATAGAATATACATAATATATTCTATATTATATAGAATATACATAATATATTCTATATTATATAGAATATACATAATATATTCTATATTACATAGAATATATATAATATTTTACATTGCATTACATAGAACATATACAACGTATTCTACATTGCATTACATAAAATATATACAAAGTATTCTACATTGCATTACATAGAACATGTACAATGTATTCTACATTGCATTACATAGAACATATACAATGTATTCTACATTGCATTACATAGAACATATACAATGTATTCTACATTGCATTACATAGAACATATACAATGTATTCTACATTGCATTACATAGAACATATACAATGTATTCTACATTGCATTACATTGAATATATACAATGTAATCAACCTTGCATTACATTGAACATACACAATGTATTCTACCTTGCATTACATAGAACATATACAATGTATTCTACATTGCATTACATAGAACATATACAATGTATTCTACCTTGCATTACATAGAACATATACAATGTATTCTACCTTGCATTACATGGAATATATACAATGTATTCTACCTTGCATTACATGGAATATATACAATGTATTCTACCTTGCATTACATGGAATATATACAATGTACTCTACCTTGCATTACATGGAATATACACAATGTATTGTACCTTGCATTACTTGGAATATATACAATGCATTCTACCTTGCATTACATGGAATATATACAATGTATTCTACCTTGCATTACATGGAATATATAAAATGTATTCTACCTTGCATTACATGGAATATATACAATGTATTCTACCTTGCATTACATAGAATATATACAATGTATTCTACCTTGCATTATAGGGAATATATACAATGTATTCTACCTTGCATTATAGGGAATATATACAATGTATCCTACCTTGCATTATAGGGAATATATACAATGTATCCTACCTTGCATTATAGGGAATATATACAATGTATTCTACCTTGCATTACATGGAATATATACAATGTATTCTACCTTGCATTACATAGAATATATACAATGTATTCTACCTTGCATTATAGGGAATATATACAATGTATTCTACCTTGCATTATAGGGAATATATACAATGTATTCTACCTTCCATTATAGGGAATATATACAATGTATTCTACCTTGCATTATAGGGAATATATACAATGTATTCTACCTTGCATTATAGGGAATATACACAATGTATTCTACCTTGCATTATACGGAATATATACAATGTATTCTACCTTGCATTATACGGAATATATACAATGTATTCTACCTTGCATTATAGGGAATATATACAATGTATTCTACCTTGCATTATACGGAATATATACAATGTATTCTACATTGCATTATACGGAATACATACAATGTATTCTACATTGCATTATACGGAATATATACAAGGTATTCTACATTGCATTATACGGAATATATACGATATATTCTACATTGCATTATACGGAATATATACGATATATTCTACATTGTACTATACGGAATATATACGATATATTCTACATTGTATTATACGGAATATATACGATATATTCTACATTGTATTATACGGAATATATACAATATATTGTATATTGTATTATACGGAATATATACAATATATTCTATATTATATTATATAGAGTATATAATAATATACTCTATACTATATAGTATAGAGTATATTATTATATACTCTATATAATATAACATAGAGTATATAATAATATACTCTATATTATATTATATAGAATATATAATAATATACTCTATATTATAATATTTAGAATATATATATAATATACTCTATCTTATAATATTTAGAATATATATAATATATTCTATATTATATTATATAGAATATAAATAATATACTCATATTATATAGAATATATATAATATACTCTATTATATTATATTGAATATATATAATATACTCTATATTATATTGAATATATATAATATACTCTATATTATATTATATAGAATATATATAATATACTCTATATTACATTATATAGAATATATATAATATACCCTATATTATATTATATAGAATACATATAATATACCCTATATTATATTATATAGATTATATAGTATACTCTATATTATATAGATTATATAGTATACTCTATATTATATAGATTATATAATATACTCTATGTTATATAGATTATATAATATACTCCATGTTATATAGATTATATAATATACTCTATATTTATATAATATACTCCATATTTTATAGATTATATAATATACTCTATATTATATTATATAGATTATATAATATACTCTATATTATATTATATAGATTATATAATATACTCTTATATTATATAGATTATATAATATACTCTATATTATATTACATAGATTATATAATATACTATACATTATATTACATAGAATATATAATATACTCTACATTATAGTATATAGAATATATATAATATACTCTACATGATAGTATATAGAATATTTATAATATACTCTACATTATAGTATATAGAATATATATAATATACCCTACATTATAGTATATGGAATATATATAATATACTCTACATTATAGTATATGGAATATATACAATATACTCTACATTATAGTATATGGAACATATATAATATACTCTACATTATAGTATATAGAATATACGTAATATCCTCCATATTATATTATATAGAATATACGTAATATACTCCTTATTATATTATATAGAATATAAGTAATATACTCCATATTATATTATACAGAATATACGTAATATGCTCCATATTATATTATACAGAATATACGTAATATGCTCCATATTATATTATAAAGAATATACGTAATATACTCCATATTATATTATATAGAATGTACGTAATATACTCCATATATTATATAGAATATATATAACATATATAGAATTATATATAGAATTCTATATATAATATAGAATAAATTCTCTATATATTCTTTAATATATATTTATCTATATATATTCTATATATAATATATATTCTATATATATTCTCTATATAATATATATTCTATATATATTCTCTATATAATATACATTCTATATATATTCTCTATATAATATAAATTCTATATATATTCTATAATATATATTTTTCTATATATATTCTTTATATAATGTATACTCTCTATATATTCTATATATAATATACATTCTACATATATTCTATATATAATATATATTCTACATATATTCTATATATAATATACACTCTATATATATTCCATATATAATATACATTCCATAAATATTCTATATATAATATACATTCTGTATATAGTCTATATATTATATTCATTCTATATATATTCTATATATTATATGCATTCTATATATATTCTATATATTCTATATATTCTATATAATGTATATTCTATATATTCTATATATAATCTATATTCTATATATATTTTATATATTCTGTATATAATCTATATTCTATATATTCTATATATTCTGTATATAATCTATATTCTATATATATTCTATATATTCTGTATATAATCTATATTCTATATATATTCTATATATATTCTATATTCTAACTATATTCTATATATATTCTATAATCTATATTCTATATATATTCTATATATAATCTATATATAATCTATATTCTATATATATTCTTTATATGTTATATACTCTATATATATTCTTTATTTATTCTATAAATAATATATATTCTATATATATTCTATAAATAATATATATTCTATATATATTCTATAAATGATATATATTCTATATATATTATATATATTATATATATTCTATATATATTCTATATATTCTATATACAATATATATTCTATATATTCTATATACAATATATATTCTATATATTCTATATATATTCTATATATATTCTATATATAATATATATTCTATATATATTATATATAGAATATATATTCTTTATATATTCCATATATATTCTATATATGTTCTATATTCTATATATATTCTATATATATTCTGTATATATTCTCTATATATACCATATAGAATATATATTCTATATATATTCTATATATACTATATTGAATATACATTCTATATATACTATACTGAATATACATTCTATATATATTCTATATATAGTATATATAGAATATACATTCTACATATACTATATATAGAATATACATTCTATATATATTCTATATATACTATATGTAGAATATACATTCTATATATATTCTATATATACTATATATAGAATATACATTCTATATATATTCTATATATAGTATATATAGAATATACATTCTATATATACTCTATATAGAGTATACATTCTATATATACTCTATATAGAGTATACATTCTATATATACTCTATATAGAGTATACATTCTATATATACTCTTTATAGAGTATACATTCTATATATACTCTATATAGAGTATACATTCTATATATACTCTATATAGAATATACATTCTATATATACTCTATATAGAATATACATTCTATATATACTCTATATAGAATATACATTCTATATATATTCTATATAGAATATATATTCTATATAGAACACACATTCTATATATATTCTATATAGAACACATATTCTATATATATTCTATATAGAACACATATTCTATATATATTCTATATAGAACACATATTCTATATATAGTATATAGAACACATATTCTATATATATTGTATATAGAACACATATTCTATATATATTGTATATAGAACACATATTCTATATATATTGTATATAGAACACATATTCTATATATATTGTATATAGAACATATATTCTATATATAGTCTATATAGAACATATATTCTATATATAGTCTATATAGAACATATATTCTATATATAGTCTATATAGAACATATATTCTATATATAGTCTATATAGAACATATATTCTATATATAGTCTATATAGAACATATATTCTATATATAGTCTATATATACTCTATATAGTATATATATAGAATATAGATTCTATATATTCTATATAGATTCTGTATAGAATGTATGTTCTATGTATATTCTATATAGAATATATATTCTATGTATATTCTATGTATATTCTATGTATATTCTATATAGTATGTATAGTCTATATAGATTCAATGTAGAATATATATTCTATATATATTCTATATGTATTCTATATAGAATATATATTCTGTAAGTATTGAATAAATATTCTATATATATTCTATATGTATTCTATATATATTCTATATAAAATATAGATTCTATATATTCTATATGGAATATATATTCTATATAGAATATAGATTTTATATGGAATACATACTCTATATAGAATATAGATTCTATATATTCTATATGGAATCTATATTCTACATAGAATATGGACTCTATATATTCTGTCTGGAATATATATTCTATATAGAATATATATGGAATATATATTCTGTATAGTATATATATTCAATATATATTGAATATATATTCTATAGAGAATACATATGGAATATATATTGAATATATATTCTATAGAGAATATATGGAATATATATTGAATATATATTCTATGTAGAATATATATGGAATATATGTTGAATATATATTCTATATAGAATATATATAGTATATATATTCTATATTCTATATAGAATATTGTATATATATTCTATATTCTATATAGAATATATGTAGAATATATAGAATATAGATATATATTATATATAGAATATATATTCTATGTATGTTGTATATATAGATATATATTCTATGTATGTATAATGTATATATTATATATATGAGATAGTATACTACACAGCCATAAAAAGGAATGATTTAATAGTGTTTGCGGTGACCTCGGTGGGAATGGAGACTATTAAGTGAAGTAACTCAGGAATGGAAAACCAAATATCATACATTCTCATTGATATGTGGGAGCTAAGCTGTGAGGATGTAGAGGCATAAGAATGATACAATGGACTTTGTGTACTTGAGGGGGAAGAGTGGAAGGAGGGTGAGGGATAAAAGACTACAAATACAGTGCAGTGTATACTGCTCAGGTGATGGGTGTCCCAAAATTTCACAAATCACCACTAAAGAATTTACTCATGTAACCAAGTACCACCTGTATGCCAATAACTTATGGAAAATAATAAATAAATAAATAAATAGTATAAGTAAAATGTTACTTTGCTTCAGCGATAAAATTTAAATATTCTTGATCTGAGTGTCTACTGTGTGGATATCTTTACACTCTTTTATGCCACCCAGATGGGCAATGGAGGATATTAGAAAGTTTTGTCACATGTGTACTTGTTACATACCTGTATAATATTTGTCTAATATATAGCAAATATTTGTTCACAGATTTTCTCCTATACAATTTTGTGTTAGTATTTTATTTGGCTAATTTTATACATTTTAATATGTAAAATTATCACATTGCCTGATATGTGAGGGCATGTGTGTTTGTGTGTATTTGTGTCTGTGTTAGCTTGAAATTAATTAAGTAGTCTAAAATCTTTGATTAATTTTCTAACTCTAAAATGGAGTTAACTTATACTTTAAATGGTGGTTTAGGTGGATATATTAATTGTTCATTTTAGAATATGCAATACACATCATATCTGTGGATTCCTTGAGTCATCTATGGAACACATTTATTAACAAATAGAAGTCTCATGTAACTGGTTCTGTGAGAATAAATATAAAATCTTTAATTTACTTTCATAATTGACATTGACAGCATAAAATTAAATCTTAAAATATCAGATTTGCTTGTAATTTTGACATTGTATTTTCATTATAAGACAACTTTCCTTGTACTGTAGGGATAATATTAACCAATTGATTGAAATTGTATTCCTAGCCTGAGGCTTCAAATAGTTAATTAGTAATGGAATTGACTTTATACATATTGGAACAATAGTATCTTCCATTTATTGACCATGTAGCATTTGATGTATGTAGGTAGACATGTAAACTGTACGTATTGCATGCAATTTAAATTTACAAATTAAATAGCTTTGAATGCTCATCCGAATGCTTAGAGAGAGATACTATTATCACTGGTTTATAAATGAAGAAGCAAAGCTTCACGGACTTTATTAGAGATAGTAAGTGGTGGATCTAGGATTAAAGCCCAGGACTGTCTCCAAAGCACACGTATTCAGATATAATGTTGTACCACAACTCTTCAGAGAAAGACAAAAGGAAAAACAAAAACCTTCAAAAAAGAAACTTTCACATCATATGAAAAAAAAAGTTTTAAAACATTTGAAAAATTTAAAACCTGCCATTTAGGACTTTGTTTTAATTAAATGTAGACTTTTAGTAAATCTGTTAATGGTAGACATAGCTTACTTCTGAGATAGACAAAAATAAAACGAATGGTTCAACTTCCAGTGAAAAATTTCTTATTTCAACATATATTTAAATCATTGCTGTTTTAGCAGTTAAAATAAAAGTTCATGTCAATTTATAATAGAAACAAATACATTTGTAGGCTTTTGTAGTGGTGGTTAGAAGTTGGAGGATAGAGATGGAAGTGGATTCAAATAACTATTCTAATAAATTTTTAACTTATTACTTTTTTATTTCAGCTGAAAGTCTTATAAGATTTGTTTTGTCTTAAAATACTCTCCAAATATTTGTTTTTTTATTTTTTTTTTATTTTTTTTTTTTGTCATAGCCATGTTCTATAGAAAGCTCATGGTAACAGAAAACATTTTAGGATACTAACTTATTGGACCATTTTTCAGTGTATGTGCATATGTGATCACAGCAATCTAGAACAAAAAGCTGAGATAAATGAAAGCTCTGGATTATTCATAAAAGTCTGTCCTCATAATATCTGGACACACATTAAAAGCATTTCAGATGGATAGAGAAGCAGTATTAAGTCTTTTGTAAAGTACTTTATTATGATAAAATATTCTAAGAAAATTTCATACTGTAAAAATGAAACTTGTCCATTTATAACTATAATATCAGAACTCCATAAATCACAGTGTTATGATTTTAATTTAATGAATGTCAGAGGAATCAACAAATAATGATCAATCAATAGTGCAGAAGAAAATACATCAAAATTTCTGTATTAAATTGTAACATAATATAATTGAACACCATATACAGACATATAATTGAACACTAGTTTTTTTGAAATTTAAACTAAATGAAACATGTTTATACCTCTAACAGAATTATGAAAATATTAAAATTTGTCATTCCATAGTTCTCAATAACTTAGGACACATCTAAAGAAAATTTGAAATATTTGAAATTATTAAGTGAAGCCTTATGCAATTGTCATAGTCAAAAGAATTTGACTTTTAAAAATGTCATTTTTATATGGTCCAGACTAATAGAATCTGAAGTATTGAGAGGAATATCAATGTTTTACAATGAGGTGTTTAACTATTTTTTTGGCCTTGCTCCAGACAAACTAAGATAGAGAATATTGAAAAGATCCTCTGTGTATATAGAAAAAGAAAGAGAATAAGATCCACAAATTTTCAGAATTTACATTCTGAATCTGAGCTTCAGTTATTAAAAATATTCAATTTTATATTCTTGCATATCTGATGTAAAATCTGAACCTAAGGTAGGTAGGACACAATTGCAGAACATCAGAATTTGATCAGAATTTGTTTCTACATACATGCTAAATATTTCTAGAAAGTTATAATCGCAGGTCTACCAAATAGAGAAAAAAAAAGAGTAGGAAAGGTAGTACAAAGAATAAAATTAAGTTTAGTAGTGTACTTGGCATTCGTTGTAAGTCAAAAACTGTTACAAGAAATAAGGAAAGTTATTATATATTGATAAAAGGGCCAATCCACCAGGAAGATACAACAGTTATAATGTATGTGCACACAATATCAAAGATGTTTAATACACAAAGCAAATATTAACAGAACTTAAGTGAGAAATAGATGGAAATACAATAACAGAGGACTTCAATACTCCATTTTCAATAATGGATAGAATATGCAAGCAGAAAATTGATAAAGAAACAGGAGACCCGAATAACGTTATTGATCAAATGCAAATAACATACTTATCCAGAACATTCCACCAAACAGCGGCAGAATATACATTCTTTTTGAGTGCACACAAAACATTCTCCAGGATAGATTACATGTTAAGTCATAAAACAAATCATAACAACTCAAGATGATTAAAATTATGCCAATCTTTTCCAATCACAACGAAGTAAAACTAGAACTCAATAGCAGAAGTAAAACTAAAAAAATTACAAATGTGTAGGAATTTTATAAGATTCTATTGAGCAATATATGGGTTAAAGAAGAATGAAAGAAAGAAAATACCTTGAGAAAAATAGAAATGAAAAGATATGAAAACTTATATGATGGAACAAAAACAGTACTAAAAAGGAAGCTTATTATGAGAATGCCTACATTAGAAAAAGAAAGATCTCAAACAACCAATCTAAATCTATCCTTCAAATAAATAGAAAAATTAAAGCAAACTCAAATTACCAGAGGAAAAATATAATGAAGATTAGAGAACAAAGCAATTACATCAAACATATAAAAACAATTTTAAAATCTATAAAAAGTTATTTTTTAAAAAATAAACAAGGTAGACAAATGGTTAGCAATAATAGCTAAAAACAAACAAACAAAAAAGATAAGACTCAAAATCAGAAAAGAAAGGAAATACATTACAATTGATGCCACTAAAATATAAAAGAATCACAGGAGACAACTATGAGCACCCATATGACAATGAATTGTATAACCAAGAAAAGTAGAAAAATCCCTAGAAACATAAACCTACCTGAGTCAAAATGAAATAGAAAATTTGAATAGATCTGTAATTAGTGGGGAGATAAAATCAGTAACCAAATGCATCCTTCTAACAAAGAAAAGTCAAGGACCAAATAATTAACTGGTGAATTGTGTGAAACATTTAAAAAAGAATTAACACCAGTTCTTCTAAAACTCTTCTTCCAAAGAGTTGCAGAGAATAAAACACATTCAAACTCATTTTCTGAGTTCAGCAATATCATGATATCAAAACCAGACAGATACCACAAAAAAGAAAAGGCTAGGTCAATATTCGTCATGAATATAAATTCAAAAACTCTCAGCAAAATACTAGCAAACTGAATTCACCAGGAAACTTAAAATATTAAATGTCATGAACAAGTAAGATTTTTTTTTTTTTGGAAAATTTCTTTTTTTTTTTTATTATACTTTAAGTTTTAGGGTACATGTGCACATTGTGCAGGTTAGTTACATATGTATACATGTGCCATGCTGGTGCACTGCACCCACTAACTCGTCATCTAGCATTAGGTATATCTCCCGATGCTTTCCCTCCCCCCTCCCCCCACCCCACAACAGTCCCCAGAGTGTGATATTCCCCTTCCTGTGTCCATGTGATCTCATTGTTCAATTCCCACCTATGAGTGAGAATATGCAGTGTTTGGTTTTTTGTTCTTGCGATAGTTTACTGAGAATGATGATTTCCAATTTCATCCATGTCCCTACAAAGGACATGAACTCATCATTTTTTATGGCTGCATAGTATTCCATGGTGTATATGTGCCACATTTTATTAATCCAGTCTATCATTGTTGGACATTTGGGTTGGTTCCAAGTCTTTGCTATTGTGAATAATGCTGCAATAAACATACGTGTGCATGTGTCTTTATAGCAGCATGATTTATAGTCCTTTGTGTATATACCCAGTAATGGGATGGCTGGGTCAAATGGTATTTCCAGTTCTAGATCCCTGAGGAATCGCCACACGGACTTCCACAATGGTTGAACTAGTTTACAGTCCGACCAACAGTGTAAAAGTGTTCCTATTTCTCCACATCCTCTCCAGCACTTGTTGTTTCCTGACTTTTTAATGATTGCCATTCTAACTGGTGTGAGATGGTATCTCATTGTGGTTTTGATTTGCATTCCTCTGATGGCCAGTGATGATGAGCATTTTTTCATGTTTTTTTTTTGGCTGCATAAATGTCTTCTTTTGAGAAGTGTCTGTTCATGTCCTTTGCCTACTTTTTGATGGGGTTGTTTGCTTTTTTCTTGTAAATTTGTTTGAGTTCATTGTAGATTCTGGATATTAGCCCTTTGTCAGATGAGTAGGCTGCGAAAATTTTCTCCCATTTTGTAGGTTGACTGTTCACTCTGATGGTAGTTTCTTTTGCTGTGCAGAAGCTCTTTAGTTTAATTAGATCCCATTTGTCAATTTTGTCTTTTGTTGCCATTGCTTTTGGTGTTTTAGACATGAAGTCCTTGCCCATGCCTATGTCCTGAATGGTAATGCCTAGATTTTCTTCTAGGGTTTTTATGGTTTTAGGTCGAACGTTTAACTCTTTAATGCATCTTGAATTGATTTTTTATAAGGTGTAAGGAAGGGATCCAGTTTCAGCTTTCTACATATGGCTAGCCAGTTTTCCCAGCACCATTTATTAAATAGGGAAGGATCAATTCAACAAGAAGAGCTAATTATCCTAAATATATATGCACCCAATACAGGAGCACCAAGATTCATAAAGCAAGTCCTGAGTGACCTACAAAGAGACTTAGACTCCCACACATTAATAATGGGAGACTTTAACACCCCACTGTCAACATTAGACAGATCAACGAGACAGAAAGTCAACAATGATACCCAGGAATTGAACTCAGCTCTGCACCAAGAGGGCCTAATAGACATCTACAGAACTCTCCACCCCAAATCAACAGAATATACATTTTTTTCAGCATCACACCACACCTATTCCAAAATTGACCACATACTGGGAAGTAAAGCTCTCCTCAGCAAATGTAAAAGAACAGAAATTATAACAAACTGTCTCTCAGACCACAGTGCAATCAAACTAGAACTCAGGATTAAGAATCTCACTCAAAACTGCTCAACTACATGGAAACTGAACAACCTGCTCCTGAATGACTGCTGGGTATATAACGAAGTGAAGGCAGAAATAAAGATGTTCTTTGAAACCAACGAGAACAAAGACATAACATACCAGAATCTCTGGGACACATTCAAAGCAGTGTGTAGAGGGAAATTTATAGCACTAAATGCCCACAAGAGAAAGCAGGAAAGATCCAAAATTGACACCCTAACATCACAATTAAAAGAACTAGAAAAGCAAGAGCAAACACATTCAAAAGCTAGCAGAAGGCAAGAAATAACTAAAATCAGAGCAGAACTGAAGGAAATAGGAGCACAAAAAACCCTTCAAAAAATTAATGAATCCAGGAGCTGGTTTTTTGAAAGGATCAACAAAATTGATAGACCGCTAGCAAGACTAATAAAGAAAAAAAGAGAGAAGAATCAAATAGATGCAATAAAAAATGATAAAGGGGATATCACCACCGATCCCACAGAAATACAAACTACCAACAGGGAATACTACAAACACCTCTATGCAAATAAACTAGAAAATCTAGAAGAAATGGATAAATTCCTTGCACATACACTCTCCCAAGACTAAACCAGGAAGAAGTTGAATCTCTGAATAGACCAATAACAGGAGCTGAAATTGTGGCAATAATCAATAGCTTACCAACCAAAAAGAGTCCAGGACCAGATGGATTCACAGCCAAATTCTACCAGAGGTACAAGGAGGAACTGGTGCCATTCCTTCTGAAACTATTCCAATCAATAGAGAAGGAGGGAATCCTCCCTAACTCATTTTATGAGGCCAGCATCATTCTGATACCAAAGCCAGGCAGAGACACAACCAAAAAAGAGAATTTTAGACCAATATCCTTGATGAACATTGATGCAAAAATCCTCAATAAAATACTGGCAAACCGAATCCAGCAGCACATCAAAAAGCTTATCCACCATGATCAAGTGGGCTTCATCCCTGGAATGCAAGGCTGGTTCAATATACACAAATCAATAAATGTAATCCAGCATATAAACAGAACCAAAGACAAAAACCACATGATTATCTCAATAGATGCAGAAAAAGCCTGTGACAAAATTCAACAACGCTTCATGCTAAAAACTCTCAATGAACTAGGTATTGATGGGACGTATTTCAAAATAATAAGAGCTATCTATGACAAACCCACAGCCAATATCATACTGAATGGGCAAAAACTGGAAGCATTCCCTTTGAAAACTGGCACAAGACAGGGATGCCCTCTCTCACCACTCCTATTCAACATAGTGTTGGAAGTTCTGGCCAGGGCAATTAGGCAGGAGAAGGAAATAAAGGGTATTCAATTAGGAAAAGAGGAAGTCAAATTGTCCCTGTTTGCAGAAGACATGATTGTATATCTAGAAAACCCAATTGTCTCAGCCCCAAATCTCCTTAAGCTGATAAGCAACTTCAGCAAAGTCTCAGGATACAAAATCAATGTACAAAAATCACAA
Source organism: Homo sapiens (assembly GCF_000001405.40). Taxonomy (NCBI): domain Eukaryota; kingdom Metazoa; phylum Chordata; class Mammalia; order Primates; family Hominidae; genus Homo; species Homo sapiens. The sequence goes on from NW_021159995.1 coordinate 221,671, forward strand.
GCCTTCTTATACACCAACAACAGACAAACAGAGAGCCAAATCATGAGTGAACTCCCATTCACAATTGCTTCAAAGAGAATAAAATACCTAGGAATCCAACTTACAAGGGATGTGAAGGACCTCTTCAAGGAGAACTACAAACCACTGCTCAAGGAAATAAAAGAGGATACAAACAAATGGAAGACCATTCCATGGTCATGGGTAGGAAGAATCAATATCATGAAAATGGCCATACTGCCCAAGGTAATTTACAGATTCAATGCCATCCCCATCAAGCTACCAATGGCTTTCTTCAGAGAATTGGAAAAAACTACTTTAAAGTTCATATGGCACCAAAAAAGAGCCCGCATCGCCAAGTCAATCCTAAGCCAAAAGAACAAAGCTGGAGGCATCACACTACCTGACTTCAAACTATACTACAAGGCTACAGTAACGAAAACAGCATGGTACTGGTACCAAAACAGAGATATAGATCAATGGAACAGAACAGAGCCCTCAGAAATAATGCCACATATCTACAACTATCTGATCTTTGACAAACATGAACAAGTAAGATTTAACCCTGGGATGGAAAGACAGTTAAGCAAATACAAATCAAGTAATATAATATAGAGCATTAACAGAATGAAAGATAAAATTTACATGATCTTCTCAATAGATGCCAAAAAGCATTTGACAAATTTTACAAGTTTTCATGATTAAAATGCTCCATAAACTCGGTTTAGAGGGAATGTTCATCAATACAATAAAAATCCACATATGAAAATCCCAGAACTAACATTGTACTCAATGGTGAAAATCCGAATGTTTTCCCTCTATGATCAAAAACAAGGCAAGGATGCCCGCTCTCTCCACATTCATTAAACATAGTATTGGAAGTCTCACTTGGAGCAATTAGACAAGCAAACATGGCATAAATATCAGAAAAAAATGTAAATTACTCCCATTTGCAGATGACATCATCTTACATACATAGAAAATCCTAAAATCTTTATTTAAAACCCCTACAATTAATAAATGAATTCAGCAAAGAAGTAGGATACAAAATCAACATACAAAAATCATTTGTGTTTCTATATACTAATAGTGAACTCTCTGAAAAGAAAATTAGAAAAGCAATCCCATTCACAAAAGCATCAAAAGAATAAAATATTTAGGAATAAACTTAAGGAGGTGAGATACTAAAGACTACAAAACATGATGAAAGAAATTGAAGACACAAACAAATGAAAATAAATCCTATGTTCATAGATTGGAAAAATTAATATTGTATCTACAGATTAAATGCAATTACCATAAAAATGCTAATGGTATTTTTATAAAAACAGAGAAAAATCATTCTAAAATTCATTTGCAATCACAAAAGACACTGAAGAGCCAAAACAATCTTGAGAACTGAGGACAAAGCTGGAGGCATCAACTTTCAGATTTTAAATATATTAAAAACTACTGTACTTAGCCAGTATGTGACTGGGATAAAAACAGTAGACCAAAGGAACATAATAAAGAGCCCAGAAAATAAATCCACACATATATGGTTTAGCTTTGAGGAGGATTCTCAGAATACACAATGGGGAAGTGATTATTTCTGTAGCAAATGGTATTGGGGAAACTGGATATCCACATGCCAAATAATGAAATCAGATCCTTATCTTATACCATGCACAAAAACAACTTAAAATGCATTAAAAACTATAATGTAAGATGTGAAATTGTAAAACTCTTAGAAAAATATATGGGATGATCTTTGTGGCTTGATTTTATGGCAATAGATTCATGAATATAACATCGAAAGCACAGGCAAAGAAAGCAAAAATAGGCCAATGAGTCTACATCAAACTGAAAAGCATACTAAACAACCAACAAAATGAAAAACAAACCTACAAAATGGGAGAAAATATTTGCAAATCATATGTCAGATAAGGGCTTAATTTCAAAAATATATAATAAATTGCTACAACATAACAGCAAGAAAACCTAACAACCCTACTAAAGAATTGACAAAATAACTAAATACATTTTTCCAAAGAAGACATGCAAATGCCTAACAGTTATATTAAAAAAATGCTCAGTGTCAACAATCATCAAGGAAACAGAAACCAAATACACAATGAGATATCACCTCATATCTGTAAGGATAGCTAATATCAAACTTTTTTTAAAAAAAAAGTATTATCAAGGATGTATATAAGTTGGAACACTTGTTCACTCTTAATGAGAATGCAAAATGATGCAGCTGCTTTGAAAAATAGTGTGGAGGTTCCTCAAACCATTAAAAATAGAACTACCAGGCCAGGCATGGTGTCTCACATTTGTAATCTCAGCATTTTGGTAGGCCGAGTCTGGAGGATCACTGGAAGCCAGGAGTTCAAGACTAGTCTGGGCAGCAAATCAAGACCCAGTCTCTCTATTAGAGAAAAAAAAAATAGCCAGGTATGGTGGCACATGCTTGTGGAGGCAAGAGGATTTCTTTAGCCCAAGAGTTCAAGGCTGCAGGAGTTCAAGGCTACAGTGAGCTATCATAATCCCAATCCAGCCTGGGTGACAGACCTCACCACTTAAAAAAATAAAATAAAAAACAGCACTACAAAATGGTCCATCAGTCCCACTTCTGGGGTATTTATACAAAATGACTGAAATCAAGATTTAGAAGAGATATCAGTAGTGTTTACATGTGCATGGCATCATTATTCGCAATAGCCAAGACATGGAAACAACCTAGATGTCTACCAAGAGATGGATGGATAAAGAACATGTTGTATATACATACCATGCAATATTATTCAGCCTTGACAAAGAACTAAATCATGCAATATGTGATGATATGAATCAACAATATTATGCTACATGAAATAAATAAGGCACAGGAAGACAAATACTGCATGATTCCACTTACATGAGGAAACTAAAATAGTTAAGCTCATAACATCAGAAAGCAGGATGATGATTACCAAGGGCAGAAAGATGAGGGGAAAATTAGAACTTGTTAATCAAAGACTATAAAGTTTTGATAATGAAAGATGAATAAGTAATGCTGTACAACATTGTGCCTATAGTAAACAATATTGTGTGGTACACACAAACATCTATTAAAAGGGTTGATATCGATTTAAGGAATCTTACCACAAAAACACAGAGATATTTATAAAATTATATTGTAGCTGTTATTAATTAATATATAGAACAGTATATTTAATTTTTCATAGCAATAAATTGTGCCATAGTACACTTTTTATATATCTAAGCATAAAGTGTTACTTGATTGGTTGAAATTTGAGTCCTCCAATTGTGATATAGTCTAATCAGAAACACTTCTAATTAATGAAAACAAACTACTGTCTCCCCATTGTATTCATTTTAGTCACAGGCAGACTAATTGCTATTATACAGATAAGAATACTCAAGGAAATGTAAATAAAACATATTTGTATTTTCTTGTATTATAGTTTATGATAAAATAACTAGATTTTTATTTTATAATTTTTTTGATTCTTAAAAGGTAATTTCACATTCATGAACACTACAAAATATTTCAAAAGTGAACTTTCCTAGTATACTATCTCAGTATTAAAGCTTGTTATCCATATTTATCAGAGTTAACAAAGCTTTGGGTCATTTATTCCTTTTTCAACAAATGGATCTTGAGTCTTAGATGTGTGCAGCATGTGTCAAGTGCTAGAGATTAAGCGATCAACAAGATGCAGTCTCCACTCTCAAATAATTTAACGTCTAAATCAGCCAGGCATAAAATTTAACAGTGTGGGATACAGATACATGGTAGGCTACTCTGGTAGATTTGGGAGAGTCTCTAAATGAAGTTACATATAATTGAGAGGTCCTGAACACAAATGGATTGCTTCTTTTTACATATATTATTCTCTTTCTTTTGATCCTAAGAATCTTCTGTAGTCTCTTACATCTTATAAAACCCTTTATGTAATCCTAAATTGATTTTTTGTGACTCAACAGTTTCCTTTGTAGCTAAACTAATTCGAAGAGCAGTCTGCATTCAGTTTGAGCATTCCTGATTCAAAAATCTGAAATCCATTGTGCTCCATAATCTAAAACCTTTTGAGTGCCAACATAACATTAGAAGTTAAAAATTTTACACCTGACCTCATGTGACAGGTTACCATACAAATGCAGGCACAAAAACATATAGCATATTCAGTGTCCTTAAGGAGAAAAAAAAAGACCCTACCATCCTCTTTCAGCTGCAATATCACTTTTTATTCCATGCTTATATTCCCCTGAACTAGCACACTGAACAAGGATAGAAAATTGTACGTGACAGGCCAGATGAATCTACATCTACAGGTTCCCTACAATATCCCACATGGGTCCAAGACCTGCATGCATTACTCACTGTGATTTTTCTTATTCTCTGTTCAGTGGTGTAAATATATGGTTAAAAATATCGAAAAGGCCTACAGATGTTGGAGAAACTGGGCAGCAGTGTAAGTCTGAAATATCTTACATAAAAGTATATTGTTGGAATTACCACCATATATGACAAAAAGAAACAGAAGTATAAGAGTCTATGATGGAAGTTCATGGAAAATAGAAAAACACTGTATAAAGCTAAAAATGAATATCTCAATTGTGTATTAAAAGAGTGGATCTACTGGCATCAACGTGAGCACAAGTCAGTTAATGGTATGCTGATCATAAAACAAAGATTTATTATAATAAACTAAAAATCAAATAAACCTCTGAATGTTCAGTAGGCTGACTGTAAAAATTTAAGAAAAGACATGGGATTAAACTTTTTAAACTTTGTGGTGATAAAGCATTTCCTGATCGAAGATAAGCAGAGAAATTCATCAATTAGTTTGCCAAGGTCACCGGTGATGAAAATTTGATGATGCCAGAACAAGTCTATAATACTAATGAAACATCATTATTTTGGTAGTATTTCTCCAGAAAGACACTGAATACAGCTGATGAGTCAGGCCTTACAGGAATTAAGTATGCCAAGGACAGAATAACTCTGCTGGAAGATGCTAATGTAGCAGGAACTCATAAGTATAAACCTGACTCACTGTTATAGGCAAAAGCTTGTGTCTTCTGCTTTCAAGCAGTGAATTTCTTACTAGTCTATTATTATTCTAACAATAAGGCATAAGTCATCAGGCATATCTTTTTGGATTGGTGTCACAAACATTTTGTACCAGTGACTGGTACTCACTGCGGGGAAGCTAGACTGAATGAAGAGCGCAAGATTGTGCTATTTCTTCAAACTCTTCTGCTTATTCTCCAACTGACATTTTTATTAAAATAATGTTCATGCCATGCACTTTCCCCAAACAGTGACTTCATTAATTCAGACATGTGACCAAGGGATTCTTAGATCAATGAAGGGTAAATAGAAAAATACTTTCTTGAACAGCGTGCTAGCAGCAATGAACAGAGCCATGAGTGTAGACGTTTTCGGAAGAACTCTAATATAAAGGATGCTGTATTTGTTTTTGCCAATGCTTGGAACACAGTGACTAAAGACACAGTCCTGCATGCCTGGCACAACCTCTGTGTTGCGGCTATGTTCAGGGATAATGATGAACAAGGAAATAAAAATGATGTCTGACCTCCCTACACATGCAAAAAAATAAAATTTTCGATGACATGGTGAAAAAGTGTAATGGGCTTGTTAAAGAAATACAGTATCATGCACTCATGACAGAAAAAGAAATCGTGTCAGTTTATAAAATCAAAGATAGACTTCTGAGACAAAAAAAAAAAGTTGTTAATGATGCAGATAACTCTAGAAGTAACATTTCAAAAGCCCATCAGCAGAGTGCTTTCTACTCCAAGGGTCCGAGAGGACCCACTTCCTGGCCCCTCAACTCTTTCTGATGTTTCTTATCACCTAAAAAGATAAAATACAGAGTCCAGTAACCTTTTAAACAAAACACAGAATCATAGGTAGAAATGTTAGTAAAAGTCTCATTGCTTTTCTTAGATATATATGTACTCATTTCTAATTTTTCTGTGACAGTTTGACAGATTCCCAAAGCTATCATTCTCAGGCTTCCCTTTGTAATCTTCTGAAGTACTAAGATTTTATATTTCCTGTGTTTATTACGCTGTGTCTGGGAAACAATACCTCCCTCTTTTCTTGGTCATTCCTCCATGTTTACAGAGTGAATCATTCAGTAACTTTTTATTTAATGTCTGAAAGTATTTGTAGTCTATCTTCATATTTTACATATAGTATATCTGGGTATAAAACTCCAGTTTAGATATCAATTTTACTGAAAATATTGATGTCTTTACTCTATTGTCTCTAACCCTCAATACTTTGGTTGAGAAGTTTACTTTTAATATATGGTGAACTTATTGGTTGAGACAATTTTTCTTCTTTAGGAAGGTCTGAGGAAAGAGAAAGAAGTAGGTGAGAAACATATCTTTCTAGAAACTTCTTTGTTAAGTTCTTCGGTGATATCCTAGTTCTACAGCACATCCTTGTCTTCTATAGTATTTGTTGTTTTTAGCACCCTGTATTTGCTCAAGTTCTTTGCAGTCATATAAGCTTATTTCAGTAAGGATCTGCACCACTCTTAGGCAATTATTACTCATTTAACTGTAGCCTATCTGCCAAAAGTATATTAAAAATTAAAATCTCTTTTTATACAATGATATTTTTGAGGTATATGATTTAAATTCATTGAAATACATACATTAAAGTGTATAGTTTAATAACTTTTGAAAATATATGCGTCTTATAACCACCATTGAAACACTGCATAGACTATTTCAATCACAAAAGATGTTTCCTTTGATGTAATCACCTTCCAACTTAAGCAATCACTGATGAGTTTTATATTTGTATATACTTACTCTGTCTGTCTTAGAAAATAATATAAATTAAATTTTATACTATGATTTTTTTCAAGTTTTTTGGAAAGCTAAATATTTTGTGAGATGTCTATGTTGTGAGATGTCTATGCTACATATAGCCTTTGTATTTATCAAAATGGGGTAGATACTGGATAAGTTTTACTCCTGATAACCCATAAAAACAATTTCCAAGATCATAAAAGAAGTAATCATCTGGGACAATAGAGAATGCATTATATAATGTTACCTTTCATGATTCTTCTCACTAGATTTCTTTCAATATGACATAAAAATTAAAAAATAAAACTATGGCTAAAACATTGCATTATTTAAGCATAGTTATGACTTATTTATATCAAAGGTATGCTTTTGACTGGGTGTAAAACATATCTTTACATCACTGTAAATTTATTGTTATCTTATTCTGACCAAATATTGAAAACTATGCAATGTACAATATTCTACATATGAGAAAAACAACTTAGTAAGAAATCGGATCCTACCAGATTTCAAAAGTCAAATCCTGGCTGGGGTGATGTGATGACATTTCTTCTAGCAATAGCTAAGACAACAGTGGGTTAATGTATTTGCACTGGGCACAATGTTAGGGGAACACTAATTTAATTACTGTCTTAAAGTATGGGGTATCCCATGATTTTATTTGCATTGGCCTAGAACATGAGTGACTTGTATTCTAGACCCAGTGCTTACATTTATTAACTAGGGAAAAAACCCAGGTTGCCTCTTCAGTGAGGCATTGATTATAATCCTCTAAAGTTTTCATTTTTATTTTCAAGATTTTGATCAAGTTCATGGCTGAAGAAATGTATACATAAGGAAATTTTAAAGACATTCTCTTGACAGAAAAATAGTGGTAGATGATAAGGAGAAGACAAATGGAAACAGAAATCAAGGATAATGATGTTACATTTTAAATATGATGGCTACTAACAAAATACCCTAGAAAACATAGAAATAAGAGAAAGTCTTGTGTAACCTGGCAGAATTGCTAGGAAATGATTTAAATAAAGTACAGTTTTCAAACTGCATTAAATATGAACACATATTTACCTGTTTTAGACGAATGAGGTTGTAAACTCACTAGGCATTTTCTTTACCATTAATTTTTAAACTTAATAATCAACCATAATTGGTTTAAAATACAAGGGAATAAATTTGATGTTCCTCAGTTGGCACCAGTTTTGTAGTATGGTATCCGACTAATAGACTAAAACAATAGATTAAATTTTTAATGAAGTTAAAAACAAGTGAAAGACTATCATCTGTGTCAATGGCAGATTTTCTGAAATTTTGATATTTTTGTGGTTACAGCATACCTAACAGCTAAGTTGAGCATGACTTAGTGGGAAGGGAAGTTAAAAAAATTACTCTGTAAATTTATTTTATTTTGAAGACAATTTATTTGAGTGGGACTCAATGAATATTTTCCATATAAAGTTCTTTTTCTTAATAGAGAAGAAGAAAGTATCTCACTCCACTTCAATTGCCATAGGGCCACTTGTTTACATATTGACTTTCACATTTTTGTTACATTACTTTGTTTTTTTAATTGTTAGTATATTATGAATAAGTAATGAAATTCAGCTCATAAGGTTTACATATAAAGTTATTACTCCTAAGTAGGCTAAATTTGCATTTTTTAATTATTCAGGTTGCTTACCAATGTAAATGACATTTTAAGTATTAATGATATTGATGTGCTACAGTGCTTTTAATTTTGTTTTTAATTTTTTTGTTTTACAAAAAAAAATCCCACTTATTTACAGGATAAGAAATGAAGGCTCTCAGAGTACTTGTGGGTGTTTAGAACGTAAAGATCTCAAGTGTGCATATGAAAGAATCAAGTATATTTTACATAAGACATATGCATAAACACTTCATACAGAATTATTTACTTGAATAATTGCTTTATTTCTTTAGTTCAATAAATTTAAGCTCTTTTCCCTCTTGATGACATCCCCTTAGAAAGACAATTTGGTCATTGAAGGGATATTTGCATAACAAAAGAATCTCTCTATTAAAGTAAATTAAAATGCTCCCAGATGTAATTTTCTCATATCAGATTTGTAATGTAACATTTTACTCCAGCTGCGTATGTGAAGTAGATATTACATAAAGTAAGATCATCTGAGTGAGTATTAGGAAACGATTACAGTAGTTCAGTTAGGAGATGACAATAAATTGAACTATGGTTGTGGCAATAGAAATGGCCAGAGGTGTCCAGATTAAAAAGATGATTGGAGAATAAATTCATAGTACTTTCCACATAAGGAGAGAGTGAAAAAGAGTGGTAGATGTCAAAGAATACATTCAGATTTCTGGCTTGCACAACAAGCTTGTATCATTCCCTGGAATAGAAAACATGGAGAAATGTTAGGTTTGGGGGAGAAACCTAAAGTGTTTTTAATTTTAAGACTTGTTGAATTTGAAGTATTATCGAAACATGGAGGAAATAGGTTGTTTCTAAAGTGTTTGAAGCTAATGATGTAAATGTGAGAAATATGTGGATATGTCAAGTCACCTAAGAAACGAGTATATAACATATTGACAACTAGGTCCTAGGAAAGTATTCTGAAGAAACAACTGCGATGTTTGTCAGAGCCTAGTGGGGAAAGATTAACAGGCAAAGGAGATTGAGAACAACAACAACAACAACAAAGGAGAAGAGGCACTTCAAGAATTCAAAACCGTATGTGGTAAAAATATAGATGCATGCAAAATAAAAACGCAAATCTAATAAAGGTATGGTTGACTCATTGATCATTGAATCAATTGAATCCATTGATCATTGAATCAATTGAAATACGTGTACCTCTGAAGAGAGAGAAGCCTCTGATGAGATTATGTGGTGTTTATGTTTGAAAATCAGCAGGATTTGCCTGTATGACAAGGTGGGAAAGTAATTAAAGAAGAATGAGCAGTGCATGCAAGGGCACAGACTAGACAAGGACGAGACTCAGATCAAGGAAACAGAGAGGTAGTTTCACTTTTGTTTGTGAAGAATTTTGAAGCCAGAGGGAGTATGGTAGAAACTGTAAAGCTCTTTACTACCAAGGTGACCAAAATATTAGCATCTAAATTCATGATTTCCTTCTTCATCTCCTTATAATATATGCAGTTAAAAGAGTGATGAATCCCACCTTTGTATGTACTTTTAAACACAACGTTGATACTACATTCAAGATACAGCTCTGGAAAATGTAAATAAATAGGTATATAAAAAACAGGCAATACGTAAAGCCCAGCTGGATTGCTGTCTGTGATCAACTATCATTGCAAAACTTAGTATCTTTACATATGTAAAGAAGGCCAGATATAGGCTTTGAAAACCTCATCTTCATTGTATTATATTAGGGACCATTAATTTAGCTTCTAGCTTGCAGAGTAGATTAAGTCTTCAATCCATTGTTTCCCACTTAGCATGAAACCAAGAAGTTTAAATGCGTTTCTGCAAATTATTTTCAAATGCGCGGACAAGAAATATAGACGAAATCCATAGCTTATGGATATTAAAAATACATACAAAATATATGTAATAATTAGTTACCAATATATGAAGAAATAGCTCATTGAAGAGCTGCTAGAAAAAAAACCTGCTCAGAAATAATTTATTTTAATATATTACATATTTTAAAAAATGTTTTCCTCTCTCATTCTTTATTAATAGCGATATTTGCATTCAAATAGAGATCATTTGATTTTAGGAATTCATCTGCTCCTGCTGTTTGTTCTCCACCTACTATTTAATCCTCAGTTTACAGCACAACTATTGGTTGCAGTGAAAATGATTAGGATGTCACTAAAGTTTATGCCTTCAGGTAAGAAATATGCTACATTTTAAGGGCAGTACAACTGGGAAACTAATGTTTTATACTTATTCAAATTGTTTCAAATTAAAATAAGCAAGGGCTGAGAAATTTAAGAAAAATGATACATTGCTTTATTCTAACTAAAATATCTCTGTATAATATATAGCTTTTTACAACGTGCCACCTGCTCTCCAGAAACATAATAGCAATATGATAGACATGCTAAAATAATTGCCTTAGAAACCCCACAAATTGCAGAGCTATGAGATCAGCATGTTGACAATACCTTTCTATTGCTCTACTGAACATGTAAATCCCTGTTTATGGGACTGGGAATTACTATTTACTAGAAGTGAATATAAATTAATCAGAGTAATTCTGCACAGGATTGATATATGGAGGCTTTACATATTACATATTTGCCAGAATGCAGACTATTATACTTCTTGTGTCTGTAATCAGCAGAGATTTAGTTCAGGGAGAGAAACTGTGACTAGAGCTCTATGTTGTATTGCCTTGTGACAAAGTCAAATGTTACAATGTGCTCCATTTCAAGTGCAAAGCTACCAATGTAATAACAATGTTACTGTTCTAAACAATATGTTCTTAGAGTTATTGTAGAACAATGGAAATGCCTGCCTTAATAGTATTTGGCAAAATAAATGACAGCTAGACAATTTAAAATTCTGATTGAGTGTGACACTCAGAAAAGAAATCAAGAACAAAATGTGTTTCTGTTAGTTTGAATATAAAGAAAGTGCTGGTGGGTGGAGAGCATTTGAAAGAGGATAGATTTTAGAATAGAATAGGTAGGTCTCCAGGTTTAGATAAAGGGTATTTCTGAAGATAAGGGGGAAAAAGGAGTGCTGTTCACAATCAGTTATGACAATTTTTGTAAAACTTATTGAAGGTAGGAAAAAGGTAGGGAAAAAAAACCTTTTACTTTGGGTTGATAAAGGGCTGAACATCAAATAGATTCGTTATCATTATTGATATGTTTTTTGGAGACAGAATCTCACTCTGTCACCCAGGCTGGAGTGCAGTGGTGCAATCTCAACTCACTGCAACCTCCGCCTCCTAGGTTCAAGCGATTCTCCTGCCTCAGCTTCCCGAGTAAATGGGATTACAGGTTTCCACCGCCATGCCCGGCTAATTTTTTGCGTTTTTGATAGAGACAGGGTTTCTTCATGTTGGACAGGCTGGTCTCAAACTGGCTTCAAGTGATCTGCACGCCTCAGCCTCCCAAAGTGATGGGATTACAGATGTGAGCCATTATGCCCAGCCTCTCTCTGTCTCTTTCTTTCTGTGGCAATAACTGGGTTACTTTTGGTAACAATATTTTTTACCTTACAATGGAAGAATTTGTAAATATATTTATTTTATTTCTATGTACAGTTCAAGAACTGGGAGTCTTGTCTAAGTTTATTCTTAGATAAATATTTTACAAACTATGAATTATAACTCCATTAATGGGTTATAAATCAAATTACTGGTATTGACAAGTATATTAGGTAATCAGATTGAATGAAATAAAGTACAAAAGAATATGTCAAGATATAAAACAAGGAATAAGTATAATTTCATTTCATCAATATTTTGTTTCAGTTTTTGCATATGAGTATGTTTGGATATGATAGGGGTGGAAAGATCATAAATAGTATGAATTTTTAAATTATATGTTATGGCCAAAAGATAGGAGGTCATTGGTAAAGAAAATCATATGAATGTGTACAACAAGAAGTATTGAAATGACAATAATTATAAACAATTTAAATATTTATAAACAGAATGTTAGATACATATATATGAGTTACATATTAATATAATTGAGCATATACAATGCATAAAATTGATAAGCTACGTATGCATGTTTCAAAGAAAATAACACTATAATATAAAATTAAATGAGGAAAGATGAAAATATATTTATTTTAACACTATTAAACATTTATATATACTGCAATTTTATATATTGTGTACACGTACATACACATAGTAATATAAATATAAATGATGGATTGGAAATTTTAAATGCTAATTCCCAATAGAGTTTACTTGGTAAAAATGGTCAGCTATGGTATTGGAAAGAGTGCAAAGAAAGCTTTGACTGATATTGTCATCTATTATTTCTATAAAACATAAAGAAGTCTAAAAATGTAAAATATTAAAGTTTTACAGAGATGGGTGCTACGTACATTGTTTCTGTTACATTGTATATTTTTTCACTTGAAATATTTCATAAGAAAAGATGTTAGAAAATAGGAATGCAGCAGAGACACAGAGAAGACTAATAGCTTTTGGCAAACTTACGAGGCACTCACTACTTAAGTTATGCCCTTCAACACACAATCTTAACTCTTACTGACTTCAAGAGGGAGCATATGGTCACATCTCAAGAAAAGTTTTATTTGTAAGGAGTAAGATACTTGTGCCAAATAATAGAAAATTATTCTACTAGAGAATAGCATAGAAGTCAATGTGACAGCTGAATGGCCTACTATTTGGTAACTTTTTTTGAGATTACACTAGGCATCTATATTTTTAGCAAGAGAGAATTTAGTGATCCTGTGTGTTACTGCCTAGAGAATAATCAGCAGTAGAGGTGATGTATGGGGCACATTTAAGGAGGTGGGCTGTGACTGCAATTAGGTTGAAATAGTTTTATTTCAGGCCAAATGTGAAGATAACAGATATTCATACATTGTTTCACACTTTTCAAGTTTTACACTTTACAATTTAAATAAGTAGAGTTCTGTGGGGAAAAGAATAAAAGAGTTACTTGCCAATTTTTTTTTAAATAAAAGTCATTCTGCAAATACGGCAAATTACAAAAAAAAGAATATTATTTGTAAAAATATAAGACTCTAGGAAGGAAAGTGTATTAGTTTGTTTTCACAGTGCTCTTAAAGATATACCCGAGACTGGGTAATTTATTAAGGAAAGAGGTTTAACTGACTCACAGTTTAGCATGGCTGAGGAAGCCTCAGGAAATTTACAACCATGGCAGAAAGGGAAGCAAACATGTCTTTCTTCACAGGGCAGCAGGAAGGAGAAGTATGAAAGCCAAGCAAGGAGGAAACCCCTTATAAAACCATCAGGTCTCATGAGAACTCACTCACTGTTATGAGAACAGTATGAGCAGCATGAGAGTAACCACCACGATGATTAAATTACCTCCCACCAGGTCCCTTCCATGACACTTGGGTATTACAATTCGGGTTACAATTCAAGATGAGATTTGGGGAGGGCCATAGAGTCAAACCATGTCAGAAACATTATAATAAAGTACCTTGGAGATTTTATCTAATGTCCAATGAATTTATAAATTGAAAGTGTGTGTGTATGCATATACACACATGTATGCTCAAACACACACACCTTTTTATAAGTGTGGTTTTACATAACTTCTTAAAGTGGTCATCTCTAATTTTAGTAAAGTGAGAGTTTGAAAATGGAGCCCTTCAAAAACTTCCCTACTCAAGATACTCAAGATCTTTTATATAATTTATATATTAAACATCTTTATTTGTCCTAAACCTGTCTTATTGATCAATGTGAGAAAATTTTCTTATCAAAAAATTTAGAAATATGTTTTAAGTGGGATATAGATTTTTTAATTAAAAAAAATTCACAACCCCAGATGGGTCATCTAGCTTGGAAATAAGATAGCCCCGTTAGTCCTATACTGTAAATCTGCATTTGTTAAGGTACAACCTCATATATTTTACTAAAAATTTGTGAAAAATGCTTGATGTTGGTAGGAGATACTGATTCTGATATTTGAAATCATTCTGTTTAAATTGTTTTCTATATAAATCTAGTGATCAGCAAAGATTATAAATAAGATCCACACCTTTATGTTAAAATGAAAAAAATTGCTATAAGACATTTTTGTTTTAAATATTAATAGACATAATGATTAACAGAAATAATTCATTCTTAAATATAAAATACCTTTTAACAGGAATATTAAAGAATTAAAAACCGTTATGAACATTAAATACCTAAAAAGGTATTTTAAAATATTTAAGTGAAAAACAAATTTATAATATCTAAATTAATTCTCAACTGATACATAATTTGTTATTAATGTTTTTACTTTAGATAAATTAATAAACACACAAAAATTAGTTCATTATTATTATTATGTGATTCATTTTAATTTTGTTTTTGAAAGATTTTCAGTTATATATGGACAAAAGATGCATTTCAGCATGTGTGTACTTTTCAGCATATGTGTACATTTCAGCATGTGTACATGTACTAAAAGTTTATTAATGGAGGAATGTCTGGGCTAACACTTTGGATACATATTTTGTACGTAGTGTTTGTTCCCTTAAACTCTACACTAAATCAGAATGGAATGATAAGGGTTTTAGGAAGCATGGAAGCTTGTGTATTCATGAGAAAGTGTGAAGAGATTGTTTTAATCAATAAATAGTAATTGTACATGGCAAACTGGGATAAAATATTGCACTTTGTCTTTATATAGTGATTGGCTTTAAAACAAAACAAAATAGAAAATTTCTTATGTATTCACTTTGTCAACTGTCCTTGTAGGTGAACTCGTCCATGCTCATAATATCATCCTGAATGTGACTATTCTAAAGTATTTGTGCCTAGCCAAGGATTATCTGAATGCCAAAAATTCACCTTCAGTTGTTAACTTGCTATCTCTATTTAGAGATCTGATAAAAGTCAAAACGTATGCCCAAATTGAGACTCCTAATTCTTTAAGTAAACCCACATGGCACAAAATGCACATTGATAATGGCATATGCGTTTATCCTCATGCCTTCCTCGACTCAGTGAATGACTTTACTACCACCTCAGTGCTTAGGCTGCAAACCTAGGAGTCCTTGGCTCTCATTCTGCACATCCAACTCATTGGGTAGCTTAAGTAGGGTCTCCCTTTAAAAAAAATTTCAACTTTATAACTGCCCATTCCCATTTCACAGAATCAGAAGTCAATATGAACCCCAGAAATAAAGTAATAACTTCCTAACTAATCTTTGATTGGATTTTACACATCCTTTAATGCACTTTTGACATAGAGCCAGAATTATTTTCTTAAAAAATAAATCAGATCAAATCAATCCCTTCTTTAAATCTTTAAATATCTGCTTATTCTACTTACAGTAAATTATAAAACTTTTACTTTGGCTTACAATGCCTTGTAGTATGTAGTCCTTGAATCTCTATCTTGATATAAGAAAAAAATTCGCACCTTTTTCTCTGTTCCAAATTCATTGTTTTTTTTTTAAGGTTTAAAGATAGAAAGCCCATTAGCAACCCAGAGCTTTTGCATATTATCTTTACCTTTCCCTGATCATTATGGCTCCATCTCATCCTTTTGTTCCCAGCTTCCATAATACCTTCTCAAACAGGATTTCCCTAATCACTTTATCCAAAACAAATCCTACATTTTTCTCAAATTCTTTTCAAGTATATTTCCTATAATGTACTTATCATAATTTGTAATTACTGCATGTTTCTATTTATATGGTTTGTTATTGTTGCCATCTCTTCCAGTATAATTTAACTAATTAAAGGCTGAAGTTATATGTCTCTTATTTATCTTCATGACTGTGACTTGTTACACTGTATTAGTCTATTCTCATGCTGCTAATAAAGACCTACCTGAGAATGGGTAATTAATAAAAGAAAGATGTTTAATTGACTCACAGTTCCACGTGGCTGGGGAGGCCTCACAATCATGGCTGAAGGTGAATGAGGAGCAATGTCACATCTTACATGGTTGCAGGCAAGAGAGCTTGCATAGAGGAACTTCCCTTCATAAAACCATCAGATCTCATGAGACTTATTCACTCTCTCAAAAGATCCGCCCACATGATTCTATTACCTCCCACAAGGTCCCTCCCTTGACATGTGGGAATTATGGGAGCTACAATTCAAGATGAGATTTGGATGGGGATGCAGCCATACCATATCATTCTGCCCCTTGCCCCTCCCAAATCTTTTGTCCCCACATTTCAAAACCAATCATGCCTTTCCAACAGTCTCCCAAAGTCTTCACTCATTTCAGCATTAACTCAAAAGCCCACAGTCCAAAGTCTCATCTGAGACAAAGCGAGTCTTTTCTGCCTATGAGCCTCTAAAATCAAAAGAAAGTTAGTTACTTCCTAGATACAATTGGGGTACAGGCATTGGGTAAAAACACCCTTTCCAAATGTTATAAATTGGCCAAAACAAAGGAGCTACAGGCCCATGCAAGTTCAAAATCCAGTGGGTCAGTCAAATCTTAAAGCTCCAAAATGATCTTCTTTGACTTCATGTCTCACACCCAGGTCATGCTGATTCAAGAGGTTGGTGCTCATGGTCTTGGGCAGTTCTACTCCTGTGGCTTTGCAGAGTACAGCTGCCGTAATGGCTGCTTTCACAGGCTGGCATTGAGTTTCCACAGCTTTTTCAGGTGCAGAGTGCAAGCTATCAGTGAATCAATCATTCTGGGGTCTGCAGGACGCTGGTCCTTTACTCACAGTTTCACTAGGCAGTGTACCAGTGGGGCTGGTACACTGTACTGTGTGGGGGCTCCCACCCCATATTTCTCTTCTACAACACCCTAGCAGAGGTTCTCTATAAGGGCTCTGCCCCTGCAGCACACCTTTGCCTGGACATCTGTGTCTTTCCACACACCCTCCAAAACCTAGGTGGAGGTTCCCAAACCTCAGTTGTTGACCTCTGTGCACCCACAGGCCCAACCCCGCTGGTAAGCTGCCAAGGCTTGGAGCTTGCACCTTCCGAAGCCTTGGCCTGAGCTCTGTATTGGCCTCTTTTAGCCAAGGCTGGATGCAGGGCATCAAGTCCTGAGACTGCACAAAGCATCAAGGCCTTGGGCCGAATCTGTGAAATCATTTTTTCCTCCTAGGCCTCCTGGCTTGTGATGGGAAGGGATGCCATGAAGACCTCTCACATGCCCTGAAAACATTTTCCCCAATGTCTTGGCAATTAACCTTTGGCTCCTAGTTACTTATGCAAATTTCTGCAGCCAGCTTGAATTTCTTCTCAGAAAATGGGTTTTTATTTCCTATCATACATTTTCTGAACTTTTATACTCTGCTTCCTTTTTAAACATATGTTCAAATTCCAAACCATATCTTTGTGAATACGTAAAGCTGATTGCTTTAACAGCACACACATGACGTTTTGTATAGTTTGATGCTTAGAAACTTCTTCTACCAGATGCCCTAAATCATATCATCTCTCTCAAGTTCAAACTTCCACAAATCTCTAGGGCAGGGGCAAAATGCTGCCAGTCTCTTTGCTAAAACATAGCAAGAGTCACTTTTGCTCCAGTTTTCAACAAGTTCCTCATCCCCATCTGAGACCACCTCACCTGGACTTTATTGTCTATGTTAGTATCAGCATTTTGATCAAAGCCATTCAACAAGTCTCTAGAAAGTTCCAAACTTTCCCACATCTTCCTGTATTCTTTTGAGCCCTACAAACTGTTCCAACCTCTGCCTGTTACCCAGTTTCAAAGTTGCTTCCACATTTTTGGGTATCTTTACAGCAGCACCCCACTTAACTGGTACTAATTTACTGTATTCATCTGTTCTCATGCTGGTAATAAAGACACACCTAAGACTGGGTAATTTATAAAGGAAAGAGGGTTAATGCACTCACAATTCCACATGACTGGGGAGGCCTCACAGTCATAGCTGAAGGCAAATGAAGAGCAAAGTCATATCCTACATGGCAGCAGACAAGACAGCATTATGTAGGGTAACTCCCCTTTATGAAATCATCAGACCTTGTGAGACTTATTCACTATCATGAGAACAGTATGGGAAAGACCCACCTGCATGATTCAATACCTCCCACCAGGCCTCTCTCATGACACATGGGAATTATGGGAGCTGCAATTGAAGATGAGATCTTGGTGGGGACACAGCCAAACCATATCAAACCCATTCTAGCAACAGAGTCGAAAGATGATAAACATTTGTTGACTAGATCAATAAA
Source organism: Homo sapiens (assembly GCF_000001405.40). Lineage (NCBI taxonomy): Eukaryota > Metazoa > Chordata > Mammalia > Primates > Hominidae > Homo > Homo sapiens. Next base: position 240,324 of record NW_021159995.1, read on the forward strand.
TGTCTTCTTTGATGTATGTTTCAATAACTTAAACCCATTAAAAATTTTAATAAAAAACATTTAAAACTTTATTTCTGGCTAGCAGAAGTCTTACATATTACATACTATTTATAATTATATTTTATATGTTATTATAGCATATATGGTAAACAAAGAAGGGATTCTAAGATGAGTTATTTCAACTGGAGACTACATAGAGAAAGTAAGAATACACACAAGTGCAATCACCTAGAAATTCAGAAGTTCATAACTTAATCCTATAAATCAATAATATAATATATTTCATCTTTATACAGGGTAAATTCTATCTACAGAATGCTTAAAGAATGCAAACATATTATGTTAATGTATAGAGGGGTACATCAATGATTAGACAGCATCTCATTAGTGTTGATTATAATTTCCCTCTTCTTTCTTTTTACCTACTTCCTGCTTCCCTTTCCCTACCCTCATCAATTGCAAACATGGTTCAGCCCAAAAGTATTGGACCACATGGCTGGCAAACAGCAGTAATCAACAGACACTTCGTGATTGTTCTAGAATCAACTACCTGCTGGGGATTAACCAATTAATCTTTCCTCTAATAATCAAGAGATTAGTGCAGTTTTCCTTTAACTATGATTTGGGCTTTTATCTGTTTTTTTTTTTTTTTCCCCATGCCATCTCATTATGCCCACTTATCAAGGGCTATTTGTAGCTAATGGTCTGCTAAATCTCACATACACAGGCTCCCCAGACTTGCCTCCTTTCTTTGGTAAATTTTTATAACACTGATTATTATTTCACAGTGGTATAGACCCTGAGAGCTTTAGCAGCTGTTCAGATGAATAACACATAACCTGATTCATCCCTATTTTCCTTCACCTCTCATCCCAAATCTAAACATAGCTGATTCAAGATCTTTAGAAATTCATCAAGTGTTACTTTCACTGATGTGGAAATTATAATTCCATAGATTATAGAAAACCGGTAAGCATAAATTTTCTTATATTCCAAATAGTACATTTTCAAGTATTGTCCCTAGATTTTTTTTTTTTACTAAGAATTGCTTATGCTAGGAAGAATAATTGGAACACTTATCATGAAGCAATTGCTTTTTAAGGGTGTTACATATATTAACTTAGGATACAGCTTTAAGTGTCAAAGCTGGATTTCAAACTTAGGCAGGTGAGTTCCACAGCCCATTCTCTTAGCCAAAGCCACTAGGCTTGGCACTTTTATTCTGTAATTAGTAGTTGTTAGTCTTTGAGTTTCCTGTCATATAAATCTACTATGTATTACTATGAATTTTCTATTCCATGATTAGATGGTCATTCATGACCGTACGTTCTGTTCAGTTATGTAATTAATTGAATGGTATATAATAGGAGAATAGTCAATTCTCAGAAAACAGAATTAGACTTGTGTTGGAATCACAGCTATGCTTGGAATATTTAGCTTGGAATATTTACCTGTGATATGTTTAGCAAGATATTGAACCTTTCTAATACTCTTTATTTTTCATTAGTAAAACTGAAAGAATAATATTTGTTTTCAGGGTTGTGACACAATTAGAGTACATTGGTAATGTGTACTGCTTGGTATTTGAAAAGAGCTTAAGAAGTGAGAATTACTAATCTATCACTTATAGTAATAAGTGATATGAGTAATTTAATAATACAATTAAATCAGTGTTCAGATATTTTAGCCTCAGATATTGTTAAAATAAAATATTTTATCCTCACCCTCAGGAGGTCCAGGATTTATAAGACATCTACACTAGGGTTCTCCCTGAGTACAATTTTAAAAGGATGGGATTGTATAAGCTCCCTTATCCTCCAAAGATTGCATATTATACTGAGATAATTATTCCACCCCAAATTAATTCATGGTCATGCATATATGGTCTCTAACTGTCATTGTCCTGTATTAGCAGAACATTCAAAACTCAAAGGGTTTATATAAAAGTTTTCTTATTCCATATGTATTACATTTAAAAGTGACTAGCCAGAGGCTAAGTGTTCTGACATTAACACTGTATCACTAAACACTGAGATACCAATGATAAGGTTAAGTAAATCAATATTTATATTAAAGTACAAAAAGATAAAGCACAAATATTGCATTATCTTACTATATGACACAATGTAAGCCAGCTTTCTCCCAACTTTCACTGTTATTGCCAGAAAAGTGTTAAAATTTGAAAAAATAATCATACAAGTATTAGAATACTTTGAAAATGTATCTCCAAAGGTAGACAACCCAATTCCATTCCTACACATTAATAACAATATTGGTTGACTAATATACAAAATACATTTATATTTATTTGTCAAGTTTTACAGTTCCTATTTGCTAAAGATATCAACACTTTTACAAGTTCTCTTAGCCACAAGCTAAGAAAATCTGACAAAAACAATTTCATAACATTTCTACAACTAACACTGAGCCCCATAAAAGCAATAAAATGAAGAAAATAGCTGTGCATATGTGTATGTATTGAGTGTGTATATTTTAAGGACTACTTGCCTTAGTTTATTGCCATATGCTCCATACTTCTATTTAGAATTGACTATATAATCTTTGATATATAATCATAAGGGAAACAATGTCATATCATGATGACTTCACGACAAATAGACTTTTATGGACACAAAGACATAACCTGAGATAGATTGCATGTTAGTTCATCTTTTAGGGTAAAAAAAGTATGACTATCATAGTGGACCTATTTTCCTAAATCTGGTAAAGTATCAGACTATGAGGCTTAGCCTCTGAAATCATTATATGTGGAATTGAAGTAACTTCCAGTAGCGACAGATAATAAAAACTATAGAACGTTCGTTCTATTATCTGCTAGATGGCTTTTCTAGTCAGGACATTCTCAGGTACAGCACATTAGATTAGTTATTTTGAAAAGAACAAGGGCTGTATGATTCTACTGATACCTCCTGAGAGAATAAGATATAATTGAGAAGTATATCAGAGGCTTTTTGAGTATTCAAGAACAACAATGAATATCATTAAAACATCAAAACAATTAATTAATTAAAGGGATCACTCTTTGATTTTTCAATACTAATATTATTACAGGGATAGCCTATATGTGTTTCTTATATAAATTACACTAGTCAATTAAAGGAGTAATTTATTTTTAATTGTTTATTGAAATTATATATGTAGATGTTTAGTTTTTGCTTTTTGTTGTTTTAGTTTTTGTTGTTTTTATTCCTCCTAATTTCACTAGAATGGCAACATCTTGTAGTATCCAATTCTAGGTTGTCATTTGACCTTGTTATCACAGCTCCTGGTGTTGGTACATTTTATTTTTATAAATAAATACTTAGCTGTATGAACATCCCGATTAAACTTTATTAGTCCTGAAATCTCAGTATTGAAAGAAGTGGTATGATAACTTCAATTGTTGAAAACTTATAAAAACTGAACATTTGACTTGGATGACAAGCTTATTTAACCAATATGCTGTACTTTATTTGGACTTGCACAGCTCAGAAATTATAGAATTCAGTGGGCATATGTGTGAAGCCTTCTACTCTACCTATTAACTGTCATTTTATGATCCTTGGTTTCTTTACCTGCAAAATGTTGCTTTATTACCTACTTCCCTATATTATTGAAGGATTAATTGTGGCCACTCATATATTTAAAGTAAATAAATCTTAGTTTTCTATTCTTGATAGCTTTTATTAAAATTTGTCCCTAAATCAAACTTTTAAGAATTTAGAAACTTCTACAATGTATTTTGTATTTAATATTAAGTATCTACCTCAGAAGGATCAGGTATCAATAGACACTGTGAAATGTAATTCCATATAATAGATCTATATCACAGACTTGAGCATTCATGTGCATTATATGTTCCATGTTACTATCACCATATAAGGATTTCAGCACACAAATGTTAAATATTTTTGTTTCTGTTCAGTGGTCTATGTTACAACACAATAAAATATAAATCAGTTGGCTGATGATGTTAATTTCCTTTAATACCAGAATTGCATATCAAGGTCTCTTAATTCCTGCTCTGAAGTAGTTTTTCATTAAAAGATGAAAAGTGGAGATGTTCTATCCTCCAAGCAGAAGGTGTATCCAAAACAATGTTAGCCTCCACAGACAGCGTATCCAGCGTATCCAGATGAATTAGATTGTGGGCTAAAATTAGATTCCTTTGGAATCAGTTCATTCATCCTGACCTATCAAGTGTTTGCAAAAATTGTGGCTAATATTTCACACTATTATCAAAACGTTGCATTTGATTTGGAATTTCAGAATTTTCACTCATGAGAGCATTAATCACATAAAAAATCTATTCCCCACATGCATAATTTGAGTAAAGTCTAAGTATAAACTAATCTGGCATGTGTGCTAACTTGGTGACAACTACAGCACAGTTTGACTCAGCAATCACTCTGATATATTTTGCAATTATTTTAAATCATAGATATTCAACCATTCTTGTAAATGCCTGACTGAAAACCTGGGGCATCTTTCTCTGATTTGATAATTATCTCCTTGAGATGCTCAGTCTAGGATAGAACACTGCCGAGCTGAAAGTGCCTGTGAGTGAATAAAGACCTCTGCTAAACACGTGTAGAGCTTTCTGCACTTGCTATGTTTCCTTCTTATTCTGATAACCATTTTGAATACAAGGGTTGTTGATGACAGAGAAGAGGGAGAAAAAAGTAAATCTTCTCATGCTATTATGGCAGAAAACTCCTTGAATCTTGTACTTTATTGGCATTATGCCATCACCTATAAATGGCAGTCAAAAAACATTTATATCTCTCTGTATATATAAGGAGATAGAATACAAGATTTCTCAAGGCAACTGTGATTCTTTCTTTTTTATAATTTTATAATGTATGTCATCGTTGGAAAAATATATCAATTTTAAGCCATATGGCAGTTTTTCTTAGCCCAGAGATTGTGTTTGTTTACCAAAACATGCTGATATGCCATTTTAGTTGTTTGATCCTAGCTTGGTAGACCATAAAATGAATTATGTTATAAAAAAGAAAGGAAGAATTTCATATTTCCACCAACTTCTGGTGATGAAAGAAAGAGGTGAACATAGATGAGAAAGAAATGACCTCAATAAACTGATGAGAGTTTGAAGATTCAAGACAGTAGCTCAGCGTTTTCAGACTCAGTACCTCAAAAGAAATAAAATTAATTTATATAAAGAAACATATGTATCACAATATGTAAGACTACAGGTATGTGCAATACAATAACAGTCTGATACTTGTAGTTGTGGTAGAAATGATGAATAAACCCCTTTGTTATTATTAAATATCTCTCTATCTCTGGAATATTATTTGCTTTAAAAATTTGGCAATATTATTTCCTTTAAAATCTAGTGTGTGGGGTTTTTTGATATTATTTATAGCTATCCCAGCTTTAATATGATTACAGGAATCATGGGACACATTATATTTTATCATTTTACTATAACCTATATGTGTCTTCATATTTCAAATGTGTTTCTTATATGCAGAGTATAGAGATGGGTGCTGTATTTGTACACAACCTGACTTTTGATTCTGTTGTTCAGATCATTTAGAATTCATGCGATTATTGATAAAGTTAGGTTGAAGTATTTTATCTTGCTATTTGTTTTCTTTTTGCCCCGTGTTTCTTGTTCCCTTTTTCCTTTTTTTTTTTTTTTACTTTAGATTGAGGTATTTTTTGCAAATAATTCCAATTGATCTCAATTTTTGATTTATAAAGTATAAATGCCTTTTTTAACAAAAATGCTATTGATTACTTTAGCAGTCATTGTATACCGCTAACTTACCACATCATCTCAAGTGATGGGCTTTCAGTTTCATTGTGCTTAGGATCTCCTGAATTATTATTTTCATCAAATTTGGCTAATCATTGGATAATCATAATTTATTTTTCATTAAATTTTTATGTCTCCTTTCTCTATCCTCTCCTTAGGAATCCAACCACCCATGTTTTAGACCAACTGAAGTTGTCCTACAGTTCACTGATACTCTTCGTTTTACATTTGTTTGCTCTCTGTATCATTTCAATAGTCTCTATGGCTTTTTCATCAAGTTCACTATTTTTTTCTTCTGAAATTATCTGAATTTAATTCATTCAGTGTATTTTTTTCTTCTTAGTCATCACAGATTTTATCTTTAAAAGTTTTCTTTTGTGTTTTTAAAAACGTTTTCATGCTCTCTGCTTAACTTTTTCATGTGCTGAATATGGTTATGATATCTGTTCAAATATCCTTGCTTGCTAGAGTCCACCATCTGCATCAGTTCTTGGTCAACCTTGATTGATTTATTTTTCTTCTAATTTAGGATATCATTGTGTTGTTTCCTCTATAGCCTAGTAATCTTTGATTATATTGTAAATTTTACCCTGTTGGGTTTTAAACATTTTTATATTCTTGTGTCTGGTTCTGGGACACAATCAGTTTACTTAATTAGTTTGATCCTTTCAGGTCTTGCTTTTAAGATTTGTTTGGCAGAAGTAAAGCCATGTTTGGTCTTGACCTAATTCTTCCCCACAACTTAAGGCCCTTCTCTGTTTTCTACCCTATGTCTAATGAATTATGAGATTTTTTCCCATCTGACTGAGGAAAATGGACACCCACACCGTATGAGTGCCTGATATCTCTCTTGTCATCCTTTCTGACTCTTCTTTTTTATTTTTATTTTTTTGATACTGTGACATGCACACGCTAATAAATTTTCCACTGAATACCTGAGGAGGATCCTCGGCAAATCTTTCACGTTCTTTATCTGTGAACTTTCTCTTTTCTTGTACTCTGTGCAGCAACCTCTGGTTACCTTGGTTTCTCTGAACATTCAGCTCTGTCTTCTGCTAACTCTGCCATGTGCTCCCCTCCACACACGGCAGCATGGAGATTTCCTCAAAGCAGTGAGCTGGGACAATCACAGGGGTGAACTTATTGGTTTCCTGTCTCTCTGGGATCACTTTCCTTTGTTGCTTGATGTCCAATAACTTGAAAGCTCTGTTGTTTCATATATTTGGTTTGATTTTTGCTTGTTTCAAATGAAAGAGAAATTCCAGGTCATGTTACTCCATTTTAGCTGGAAGCAGAATTCAAGTTTTCATAAAAATATGTCATATATATATATATATATATATATATATATATATATATATATATTTCCACTGGGCATGGCATCCTAGGATAGCAGTTTTTTTCCTCTTGTGAAGATAGCCCTTTTAAAAAAATCTCCTGAAATTGCATTATTTCTTGTGAAGCTAGCTGTCAGTCTTATTGTATCTTCTCTGTAGAACATATTTTCCTCTGGCTGTATTTAAGATTTTTTTCTTTTTATTTAAAATTTTTTTACTGTAACATATCTAAATATGGTTTTATTGTTATTTATACTTCTTGGGTGTGCAATAATTCTTGATTTTATTTGTGTGTGTATGTGTTTCTTGAGAAATCTGAGCCATCATATCTTTATATACTGTACTTTACATTTTTTTCTCCTTGCTGTACTTTGAGAACTCAGATTATCAGTATGCTATAATATATTATGAATTGTATTTCCTGCATCTCTTTCACTTTTCTCTCTTTGTCAAACTTTTGCTTTCCTGTATTTTGTGTACTTTTTTACTTATTTTTTAGTTGCCAGACTATCTTTTCTGTTGTGTTTAATCTTTGTTAAACCCATTCATTAAAAGTGTACTTTCACCTATAAATTTTTCAAATCTATAATTTTCATGAAAAAATTTTGTAGTTTGCATAGAGCTGTAAGAATACACTATCTTGTCGTTAGTAATCTCTAAGATAGCAAGCATACTATTTTTTAGAACCCGCACCTGATAACTCTGTTTATTCTTCCTCTCCACATCAATTATGATACCATGCCTTTAATTATTCATGTTTATTTTGAAATGTGGCCTGACAAGGCATAAAATAGAGATAACTTGAGGCCTAGGATATTGTTATATTTTTCAAGAATGTATTTTTGTGATTATAAAATAGGTCATTTGCAAACCAAAACCACCTTTATGTAATCAAAGCCTGAAATATTTTGAAACAAAGCCATCAATTCTAATGATGCATCACCTGTGAACTGACACGAATCTGTCTTTTTAACTCCAAAATCTTTAATTCTGTAGCTATTTATATAATTAGGCTTCCATATAATTTTTAGTCCTCCTGGATGATGTTGCTTCACCATGCAATTTCATATCTCTCTGCTATGGCATGTACTGCTCCCTTTAACTGAAATGGCATTTCCCACTCCTGTACATGCTCATGTTTTACAACCCAGATTAAATGGTGCCTACTCTGTAATACCTTCCCTCTCCCACATTGCCTGGGCAAATAGCTTATTTCCCTAGATTCTCATAGACTTTTTAGTAAAATTGCTAGGCTGGTACTTTCACATTCTATTATTAGGTACCTCTTGTACCTTTAAAACATGAAGTGTTTGAGGAAAGAACTAGGTCAAAGTTGTAATTGTAATAGGAGACTAAAACCTCAAAATCCTTATGTCCCAAATGTGTAGTGAATTAGCTGAAATATAGTAGGCTACCTATAATGTTTGCTGAATAGTGGTTGTGGGGTTGCATTGCTGTATTCATTAGGATATTTCATGCCTCGTAGCATTCTCTGGAAATGTACTTCTGTGATCTCTGACCAAATCTAACTGGAACACTTCTGTATTAAAGGGCTGTGAATCCCTAGGCAGTGATTTCAGCATGCTTCCATTCTTCTGCCAAATCTAAACGGAATGCTGTCAAAAGCATTGCCCTCGGGTTAAAATCAGATACAGAAAATTTAAGTGTTTCCAAGAATTCAGGCTAATTCCCAGTAGTTGTTCTCGTTCCAATTTCTGCTTTCAAATGATTAGAAAAGATACAGTAAAATAAGTTAAAATGTCTATTTCCATATAGTATACATTGAAAAAAAATCCTTATACAGGAACTAAATCCTTATATAGGAACTAAATCTGAGATAAAATTTATATAGGAAAGTAGGCACTTAAATTTGAGCTCAGATTTAGTTGACTTTTCAATATGCCAAAATGAATCTAAGAAGCTAAGTGAGTGGTGGGATAGCTGGGTTGAAATCAGAAATATGAACATAAAAAGTTAAACCAATTCATTTGGGCCAGGACCCAATAAAATGATTAGAAAAAGTATGAGGAGACAGCAACTGGCATGTTTCTGGAATGAATAATAGCAAAGGCTAAGTGAAAACACTTTCAAAGATGCTGTCATGGACATCCAGCATGAGAAGGTATGTCTGCTATGTAGGGATAAATAATACATTTAGGAATTTCATGGCACTCTTTTCATTCAGAGAAGTAAAAGATGCCAAAGAGGAATATTAGCAGGTGGAAGTCCTTAATGTTCTTGGAGAGATCTGACAAGAAAAATAGAAGGCTGTAATATTGTAGGAATTGGATATTGAGCTCTTCAAAATTTAAATTTGATTTTGTTATTGATTCCACTCCAGACATCCGTAAGTGTATATATATATATATATATATATATATATGTATATATATACACACACACATATATACATATATATACATACATATATATATATACACACACACACACGCTGTATTTCAATAATTCTTTAGAACTCTCGTAGTTTTAAAAAAGAAAAAACAATAATAAATAAAATCTAAAAATCTTAACATTTCTGACAAGGCCCTGACCGACCTCTTCCACCTTATCTAATGGTAGTCTCTCCGTGGTTTGCTAACTCCAGGTACAATGACTTTGGTTTAAATCTTTGACCTTTTCATACTCCCTCTTCCCTTTACCTAGCAAACCATGTCCACCTGTTATAGATTGTAATATTATCTGCATTGCTTTTTAATATATATTACCAAATTATTGACATCATGAACTACGTGTTAAACTCATTGGGAGGGACACTGTAGATCTTTGCTTATTATTGTATCTTCAGAACCTAGTACAATATATGGCTCATCTGGGTTCATAACGGTAAAAACTCAAGACAAAAGGACCACCAGAGAAAAACTTATTAGGACAGAGTACAAGTCAAACTTTTGGATATAGGATCAGAATTGTGTTACCAATAACTAACGGAGAGAAGGGCACAACAAAACTGGCAGAAAGATGGCTGAACTGCCTGTCTAGGACGCTAGATAGGAGCTAACAATTGCAACCTTTAGCAAAATGATATTTTTATTTGATAATAATATAAAACAAATAAATAAGTTAACATTTACTGAGACTAAACCATATGTCAGAAGCTTGTCTACACATGTTAGCTATCTTATGTGAGACAGGCATCATTATTATCCTTAGTTTTGAAATAAGAACACTAAAGAACACCATTGTTTTCTTATCTGGAAATAATCTTGCAGCTACATCTATGAAGTAATGGAGCTTAAATATGAACCCACGCATTAGTGCATAGCATATATTCTTTGCTTGGATTGATATTCTATTTTTATGAAAGTGTACTCACACTTTATAAAGAACACAAGCAACAACTTCTTGGTGAAGGATGGTTATTATAACACAAATGCAGGGTAGTTCTGACTACAGTCTATTGTAATCACTTACCAACATACATGTCTTCCCCATTAGGCATTCCTTTTATAAAGAGCAGTAACTATACATTATTCGTCTCTATTTCCTAGAAACTTACTACACCTTTCCCAAAGCAAATATTCAATAAACAATGGCTTGCTAGGTATTTGAGATTTTGTTCCAATGTAAGGTTATTTCAATCAGATCTGTTCACTTTCAAAAACACTTGAAATTATTTCACATGAAAAAAAGAAAAATGTATGTGTGTTCATTTGTGTATGTGTATGAGCCAAATATACAAATATAATCTCTGCTATGTGATTATGTCTTAAATGTGTATGTAATAGATATGTCAAGTATTCCCTTAAAAACCTGTAGAAACCTCATTCAAAAGAAGAAGACAAACCAACCAATTTCCTCCTACTTTTTGCTAGCTTAGCAAATTAACAATCAAAACAGGAATGCACACACACAAAAAACTAGATATTGAAAAAAGCAAATTATTAATGAATTACATATTAAATTATCTTGAAGGTAATCATTAAACAATGTTATTAGAATCCTGTGTCCTTGTGCTTTGAAAAGAGAATATTATTTTAATTTTTGAAACTCCAAATTGGAAAAGGATCACATCCATCAACTGAGAAAACTAATCAAGATTATTTCACCTGTTTTTCACATGTTCATGATTTTTCATAAGAATATACAGAATGGATAGAAACTCTAATACAATTCACCATTTTATATTCTGTGTATTAATGGGGCATCTCAATGCATTTTATGTTTTAAAATTTTATGCAAACACCAATTATTCTTTCTATGTTTTATCTTCCAATAGTACCAAATACTTGGTATTTGAAAAAGTTCAAAGTTTTAATTGATATTAGCCAATATTTGTCCAGGTATTTGGTACTATAAATGGTATGTGTAATAGATGTGGAGATCAGTACTGCCAAGAAAGCATACTTACTTAGACCCACACATAAATAACCCCAATTTTTTAGGATGTATTGTTATTTTGAGTCAGAAGCATAAAGCTGAGAGCTTCACATAATTACTCAAATACCAATCTGCAAATCAAAGAATGAGAGACAATATATTTAATTACCTAATATTTCTGCATGCAGTAGGAAAAAATTCTGGGGAAATTATGGGAGTCAAAGAATCTGGGTTGTCTAGTAGAAGACTGTGGACAAAATTTCAAACCAGAAATTCAGATCCACTCCATATTGTGAATCAAACTGGCAAGCTATTTGTGTATAGATTCCACAATAAAGTAAGTCCCTCATTGGTGGTTAGGATCTCTTGAATATGTAAACTCTTATGGGTAACAAAGGCTTCTTTTAGGAAATGTATCCATTAGGGGCTGGATTTTAAATTATACTCTGGAAAATGTGTCACACTAGAACACTCTTCCCTTCTTTATAAATCACAAACAAATTTTTAAGAAATAAAATGCTGTTCCCTCCAGTTAATTCTATAGAAGAATCTCCAAGTGAGGACAGGGAAAATCTGGTCCCTGAAGTTTCCTTTTATTTTGGATACCTCTCTTTTTTGTTATAAAAACATCAGTAATCCCAGAAAAGGAATGTGAACGGTGTAGGGCCTGTTATTTTTTAGCACTTAGACCTAAAACTTTCTCTCCCTCCAGCCCTCCCATAGCACTGTAAGCTGGTCAATACTATGAGAAAATATACATTATAAAGCATTGTGAGAAGTAAATCTTCTCACTTCCACATTATGACTTCATTTCTAGAATTTGTTGGTCTCACTCCGTACATGTTTTTGGCTTTCTTCTTTGGGTAAGTGATCTCTTATTGCCTAGCACAGTAAAGCCCATACTATCATGTCTGTTATGAAAATCTGGGTCCCAGAGAAGGATACAAAGAAAAATACAGAAGTATATAAAGCTGTCACAAACACTCATGAGAAGGTCTTTGTATGGAAATAAGTTCAAATTATTTGGGTAAATACTAAAGAGAATTATTCCTTGATTGTGTGGGCTAAAGGGCCCATTTTCTAAATTGGGTTGCTATCTTGTTTTTGAATTTTAAGAGCTATTTGTATATTTTTCAATCAAGACCTATACTATATTAATGTTTTGCAAATATTTTCTCTTTGTGGCTTGCCCTTTCATTCTTTTTAACAATGTCTGACAGAGCAAAAATAAATGAATTTTAGTAAGTTTACTGAGTTCTGCAACTACTACTATCATTTTTATCACAAGCAGATATCACATATTTCAATACAACTTAGACCACTGAGTCTTTAGAAATTTTACCAAGATGGAAGTCTCTGAATTTGGTGAGGTGTACTTCATTTTCTGCCATGTTTATGGTATATGATGGCCTTTTGCTACTTCCTCCTTTCTAGGTCCATTAGCCGTGATGCTAGCCATTAAACCAAGATGTCCTGCGAGAGCATAAAACAATCAGTATCACTTCCTTTTAGGAAGAATTGCCATGGGCCTGAGAAAGACAGTGATATGTTTCTGCTGTCCATTGAAATTGCTTCTGGTGGTCTTTGCTAAATGACATGGAGGCAAAAGCAATGACAGCTCATTAGTTTCATACCATATTCTGGGGCTGTGTTAACTTGCTCTATAAAAGAGACAAAATTTGGAACAGCAGCTGTAATTGGAGTCACCCCCTGTTTATGACAATGTACTGTCGTTGACCAAGGCTATCCAATTTCTGCATAAGCCTAATTAGTGAACTCAATAAAGTGAGAGGGAGGACTGAACACCTCTCCTTTTATCATATATTTAATACTGCCCCTAGGCATGTCATATTGTTTTAGATTCCTAGTTTTATGTGAGTTACCAATTTCAGGCCACCTGTACTACTCTGAAGCTCTTGTTACAGATTTCAGCATTTGCACCTGGGTGAAGTCCCAAATGGAGTGTTTGCTGCTCACCCCACTCTCAGTTTGACTCATTAGTTCTCCTCCTATTCAACCCTTTTCTCTTCCACCCTCTTTCCTCCCCTCCTCCTTGCCCTAGTTTTGCTTCTTTTTCTTCTTTCTGTATTTATTTTCTGCCTCTTCTTTCATCTCACCCTCCTTCTTTTTTCTTGAAAACATTTTGCACTTTTCTATGTCACAACAGTATCTAAGTGTGTTGTGGGATGACCACATTCTAATTGCATTGCAACAGGAGACCTTGATATAATATCTTGTACAGCCTCCTGCCAGAAGTGTAATTAAAAATATGAAGTCATTGCTCATTAAAATATGATACATGATTTAAAAATCACAAGAAACTCAAGCTGTGGTAACATCCTCTGCAACTTTAGAACTTCTTCTTTCATTTTGAAACAAACTTTATAGCAACAGTTTCTTAGATTAGACATATCCTTTACTCTTGTCATTTTTAACATCGATTTAGATATCGAAATTTTAAATCTCTCTTCAGACTTTACTTGAAGTGGTTGTTTTTCTTTATGTGGCTTTCCCTATGTGTGTGGTTATTTTATATACAAAAGTAATTAATATGACAGTCTTTAATAAACAAAAATAAACTATTTTTTTCTTATTTACAGCACTTAGACTTTCCAGGTATCAATGGCAAGTTGAATTTATCCAGCGTTTTCTGACTGACCCTATGTTTAGCTATGAACAACAATCATTCTCACTCTTAGGTGTTTTAATCAGGATTACAGAGGCATACTTTTCCAAACAGTAAAATTTACTAATTTCAAGTACATAATTGAATGAGTTTTGACAAATGTATGCATGCTGTTGTATAAACACCCTTTGATTCATGAGGTAGAACACATCCTCCCCACCATGAAGTTTTCTCATGTCCACTTACAGTCAATTCTCTCCCCACATATTCAGATCCCAACTACAGTTCTGCATTATTTCAAAATAACTTTAGTGTCTTTAAAAATGTTATATAAATGAATCATATAAATGCAGTCTTATGTGTTCAACTTCTGAAATTGTGTTTTTCAAGTTCATGTATGTTTCAGTGGTATCTTCCTTTTTTAATACGTATTACTCTATAGAACCAACTATCTGTTCATAAGTTGATAGACATTTGGTTGATTCCAGGATTTGGCTATTGTAAATAAAGACGCTATATACAATAATGTGCAAATCTTTGTGTGATCATATGCTTTCTTTTCTATTGAAAGGATTTTTGAGATTACTGGATTGAAATATGTTTAGTGTATTGGTCGGTTCTATTAAGTTGGTGCAAAAGTAATTGGTGTTTTGCCATTACTTTTAATGGCAAATTACTTTTGCACCAACCTAATGGCACTGCTATAAAGAACTACCTGATACTGGGTAATTTATAAAGAAAAGAGGTTTAATTGGCTCACAGTTCCACAGGCTGTACAGGGAGCATGGCTGGGAGGCCTCAGGAAACTTACAATTACGGCAGAACACCAAGGGGAAGTAAGCATCTCTTCACATGGCAGCAAGAGAGAGAGATTATGAAGTGGAAAGTGCAACACACTTTCAAACAACCAGATCTTGTGAGAACTCACTATCACGAGAACAGCAAGGAGGAAATCTGCCTTTGTGATCCAATCACCTCCCACTACACCTCTTCTCCAACATTGAAGATCACAATTCAACATGGAATTTGGGTGGGGAAACAGAGTCAAACCATATCATTTCACTTTATAGGAAACTGCTACATTATTTTCCAAAAGTAGCTGTACAATTTTGAATTCTTAAAAGAAATATGTAAGAGTTCCAGAAGCTCCACCTTCTGTTTAATACTTGGTATTGTCAATAAAAAAAAATCACCATAGTAGATATGAAGTAGTAACCCATATGGTTTTAGTTTGCATGTTTCTAATGGCAATTGATGTAAAGCATCTTTCCATATGCTTATTGTCTTTTTGCATACGTAAGGTAAAGTTTGTATGCAATTATTTTGTCCACTGTATTTATTTGATGGTTTATCTGTGCATTAGTATTAAAATGCTTCTTTTATAACTGGGAAGAATCATTTATCATTTATGTTTTGCAAATATTCTCTCTTAATTTGTGTCTTTATTTTTTTATTTTGTTAAGGAACATTTAAGAAGGAAATGTTTTCATTTGATAAAGTCTAGTTTAACATTTTTATGCTTCATAATTTTCATATTAATCTATGAAATTTTCTTCCAATCTAAGATCTTGAATATTTTCTCCTGTATTATCTTTCAGAAGTTTTATAATTTAGGCTCTTGGATTAGATGTATGATTAACTTTAAGACATTTGTGGTGTGAGTAGATGTAGGTCAGAAGATACAAAGTGGTATTTATGTAGGATGAACAAATCTAGAGGTATAATGTACAACAGGAGGACTATAGGTAATAGTTGTCCTATATTTGCGATTCATGCTAAATGAATAGATTTTAGCTTTTCTTGTCACAAAAACAAAAACAAAATTGGGTAAATATGTGAGATGATAGATGTGTTAATTTGCTTCATTGTAGTAACCTTTTTATACATATGTATCACATAACTTCATAGCTTATATCTTAAATATATACAGTATAATTTATTTTTAAAAAGTGTCCATTTTATTGCTCATAGATACCAAATTTTTCAGCACTCATTGTTGCAACGACAATCTTTTCCTCTTAAATTGACTGCTTTGTTTAAATGAATAGACCATATATGCAATTTATTTCTGAACTCTTCTTTCTAGTATATTGATCTATCTGTCCACCCTTAGATCAATACACTGATGTCTAACCGTAGGCCAGATTAGTGTGTTCTTGATGGGGAAAATTCACATTGTGTATTGGGGGAAAAAAAGTGAAATTTGTGGCCAGAAAGACAATGGTTTAGCACCTCCAATCTATCAATTCCTCTCTGAGTGATGTTCAAATTGTAACTTTTCTTCTCTTAAGACCAATTACTTATTGTAAGATTGTTGTATGAAATAAATAACATTTGATTATATAAAGTGTGTTCCAACACCTAGTAAATTAGAAAACACTTCATATATATTACCTCTTTATCCTCTGTTCAGGATAATTTAATAGAAAAAAGATTAGCTACAGTGTTTGTGGTGGTAACATCCACATTATGAATTCATGAAAAGGAAAATCAGAGCTCAGTTTTTCAGCTAAACATGTACTTCTACTTTGCTACAATAAATTCTACTCTATTTCAAGCAAGATTGGCATATATGACCATGCTTAATTGATATAATAAATTAGAATCATAATTTACTATAGCTTCAGGTGGCATCTTTTTCTAAGGAATTATCTATTTCTTGAGTCATAGCAAGATATACAAAATATAGTAACAATGTTCTTTTCAGAATACTGAATAAAATACAGGTTTGTTCAACATTTTTATGTTTGCATTAGAGAATAGTGGCCTAATTTAGAAAACATTTGCTATTTTGTGGTTGACATAAGTAACAAACTAACTTATACATTGTATTTTATCCCACTATAAAACTCATTTCATGAATACTGGGAAGACACTTAACTAACAAAAACAGCACTAAGTATTTGAATGGATGTTTTTGAAATATGGTAGAGAATGAAAATTCAAAGGAAGTCTGGGTATTAGAGTTTAGTAAAATGATTGTTTATGTTTGTTCTGTAACTTCAAGACCCAGAATGCTGTATAATTGTAAAATTCGTAGTAACTACGGTCTACATCTTACTGCCCAAGACCTCACAGGTTAAATGGGCACGTACGTATTGTCTGAAACATACAAAGCTGTTCTTTTACTCTGGTTACATAATATTTTTATATTTTTTAAGTGAAAATGGTTTTTATTATTTTATTTTGTTAAGAAGCATTTAAAAAGGAGACATTTTCATTTGATAAAGTATAGTTTACCTCTTTTATGCTTCATAATTTTCATATCAATTTATGAAATTTTTTCCCAAACCAAGATCCTGAATATTTTCTTCTATATTATCTTTCAGAAGTTTTATAATTTTAGGTCTTAGATTAGGTGTATGATTAACTACATGGTTAATGGTAAAACTACCATTTGGTAAAACTACCAATGGCAAAACTAACTACATGGAAAATGGCAAAGACTAACTTTCCTTGAATTGATAAATGCTGTGTTCTGCTAAGTAAAGGTAAGTCCATATAGATATAGGACAATTTGAGGAAACAAAAATAATTGGTCATTATAATATTCAGAAAATCTTCAGCTTATCATTTTTTTCACAAGATTACAGAATAGGGTAGTATTTAGAAAAGTCCTTAAATCATATCTAAGTTTATGATACACCTATATCCCATGATTATGGGGCAACTTAATTACAAAGTCATAAAAATATATCGTAATTATTAAAATAATTCCATTCTTCTATATGTTTTGTTTTCCCTAAATTGCTTAATTTCAAATATGGTTAGGAGACACCTCATAAGTATTCAACTCTCTACCATTTGAATTTTAAAGTGGGTAATTAATTTTATTTTATATGGTTTTTAAAAATTTACAAATGACAGCTGGATTACACTATCATTTCTATTTTTTTATCAAATAATGCTTTATTTTTATCTTAACTTCTCTTCTTGTATAGTTTGTCAGTATTAGATTGACTCGGAGTTTTCTTACTCAGATAATTTTATTATAAAATATGAATAAATGATTGTGCACAAATTATAATGTCACAGTTTAATGAGTTTCAAAAGTGAATATGCCCGTGAAACCACTGGGATTAGGATACACACACACACACACACACACACACACACACACACACACAGAGACAGAGAGAGAAAAGGAGAGAGAGAGAACATGAAATCACTGGCATTTCAGAGGTGGCCATTGTTTACTTCCCTAGTCGCTAGTCTCCCCAAAGGAAACCCCTATTTTTACATCCATAGTCAAATATTATATTATTCGGTTTTTTAATTTTATATAAATGAAACGAAACAGTACTCATGTCCTTATCTTTTAATGAATATATTTATAAATGTTGTACACACAGTATTAAAACTGTTTATCCTCAATACTTTATAACAATGTATTTATATGGTATAATAATACCACAATTACTTTATCATTTTGTTGTAAATTAGTATTTATAAATTTTCCAGTTTGGGGCTGTTACACATTATACTGCTATGCCATTCTTGTGCATGTATTTTAATGAATTTAAATATTTATTTGGGTATTTGCACAGGATTGGAATTACTTGTTTATAGTAGATAATTCCAAGCATTTTTCTAAAGGGTTGAATCCAATTTGTACTACTATCAGAAGTGTGTTAACATTCCAGTTGCTCCTCTGTTTTATAAAAACTTTGCAATTATATGTTTTATGTTATTAATGCTAGTGCATGTGTAGAGATATCTTACATAATTTTAATTTTCATTTTCTTGATGTCTAATGATGTTGAGGACCTCTACATGTGTGTATTGGCTATTGGTTATTCTTTTTATGTACAACTTCTATCTATTCAAGTCATTGAACCAGTTTTCTTTTGGTTTCTCATTTTTTTCCTTACCTGCTTTTTATCCTGATTAATTATTCATAAGATTAATTAATAAGCCTACTGCAAATTCTTTTTTTTTTAATGCATGGGTTTTGTTTATTTAAAGCCTGGAAGGAAGCGTACTAAACCACAAACAATGGCTGTCTCTGCAGTGTAGGATGGAGGGGCTTGGGGGAGCACAGGAAGATTTTCATTTCTATTTTAAATATTTCAGCATCATCTCAATAATGGGTACATACTCAAAGGAAAATAAACCGTTCTACCACAAGACACATGCAGCCGCATATTCACTGCAGCATTATTCACAATAGCACCAGACATGGAATCAACCCAGGTGGCCAACTACAGTGGATTTGATAAAGAAAATATGGTACATACACACCATAGAACACCATGCAGCCACACAAAAGAATGAAATCATGTCCTTTGCAGCAATATGGTTGCAGCCGGAGGCCACCACTTCAAGCAAACTAACACAGAAACAGGAAACCAAATCCTGCACTTTCCCACTTATAAGTGGGAGCTAAACAGCAAGTACACATGGTCATAAAAATGGGAACAACAGACACTGGTGAATATAAGAAGGGGTAGGAAAGGGACTAAGAGCTGAAAAAAACTACTTATTGGACATTATTCTCACCCTTCTGTGATTAATTCACTCATAATCCAAACCTCAGCATCCAACAATATACCTATGTAACAAACCTGCACATGTATCCTGATTCTAAAATAAAAGTTGAAAAAAAAAATTCAGCATCACTTGTTTCATCTTATAGGGACATTGTAAAATAACAGAAATAAAACTAAGAGATTGGAAAGGAAAAAAGGGGAAAAAGAAAAGAACTCTCATCAGAATTCTGTCCTGCCCACTTCTGGAGTAAATAAGCCCAGGTTTATACTTTAAAGCCCCCAAAACAGCATCATCCACACCACCTTATCAGATCCGCAAAGCAATTCTAACTTGGCAGAAAGGGGTAGTTATTGCAGGTAGTTATCCTGCAAATGGGGAAACTGAGACTCAGAGAGTGCAGTGACTTGCCCAAGGGCCCACAAGAAGTGGTGTCCCCGCAGAGATGGAGAGGGAACCCAGCTCTCTGGAATCTCAGGCCTCTGCTCCTTCTGCTGCAACTCTTCAAGTAAGAGGAGCAGGTGCGGCGATAAGTGTTTATAATCACGGGCCAAACATGCAGCCCTGTTCAAGTTTGTGCCTCAACTCCTTCAATTCCTCTTCATGTTTCATTTTTTCAAAGTTGGTATTCATCTTTCTAAGTAATTTTCATCCTTCTAGCTCTTCTTTTCTGAAGGCAACATGTTTTAGAAAAAGCAGGGACTTGAGATCTGACTGTCACTCCCCAGCTCAAGTGCCTTCACCTCTCTGAGCCTCATCTGACAGAGAGGACAAAGCAGACACACCCCAAAAGCAGGTTCAGAGCAAACCCATGCCACTGGGGGGAGGCAAACTGAAAAATAGTGGGAAAGTCTAAATGCATATTTCTTTTAATAGTTTTTTTAAACTATAGTTAGATTGTAGTCTAATTATTGATTTTATGCCTTGATGATTTTCACTTATGGAGTCCTTGTTAAAAATCTGTTCCTGCCAGATTCATAAAGATTTAATTCTACATTTATATATTTATATCATTGATTTGTATCTACAGTGTGAGGTAGGGGTAAAGATAAATATTTTCTTTTTCTTTCTTCCTTTTTTTTTTTTTTGAGACAGAGTATTGCTCTGTTGCCCAGGCTGGAGTGTAATGGCACTATCTTGGCTCACTGCAACCTCTGCTTCCTGGGTTCAAGGGATTCTCCTAACTCAGCCTCCCAAGTAGCTGGGATTACAGGCATGCACCACCATGCCCAGCTAACTTTGTATTTTTAGTAGAGATGGGGTTTCACCATGTTAGTCAGGCTGGTCTCCAACTCCTGACCTCAAGTGATCCACCCACCTTGGTCTCCCAAAGTGTTGGGATTACATGCATGAGCCACCACACCCAGCAATTTTCAAAAATTTATTCAATCAGCATCAAATTTGAAAACACTTACCTTTTCTTTATATAGTACTATCCTTTTTATCATAATCATGAAATCATTTATATGTCATCTGTCCCTAATCTACAAATAATTTTCCATTGGTCTCTTTGCATATTCTTATAGCAATAGCACATTCTCATTTTTTTTAAATCTGGTAATATACATTCCTTAGATTTGTTGTTTTACATAATTGCCTTGGCTATTTTGCCCATTTTATTCCATGCATATTTGAGAATCAGTTTATCAGTTTCAAATAAAAACAAGCAATTATAAAAGGAATTAAATTTACTCTGTAGAGGCACTTAAGAAAAACTATTAACAAAATTTAATCTTTTAATCTATGAAAATATTTTCCTCAATTTGCTTAGTTATTGTTTAATTTCTAGTTATAGATGTTTTGTGTGTATATGTGTGTTGTAGGTTCTAAACATCTTTTATTAGATTCATTTCCAAGTATTTGATATATTCAATGCTACTACAAATAATTTCTTTAAAATTTCATTTTCTAAATATTTATGGTATAAAGCAAAACAATATGTTTTTTTAAAGTATTCTTTTACATCTAGTAACTTAAAAAAATCTATTTCACATATCTGACCGTTTACTGTATTAGTCTGGGTTCTCTGGAGGGACAGAACTAATAGGATAGATGTATATATAAAGGGGCATTCATTAAGGAGTATTGATCACACAGTCACAGGGTAAGGTCCCACAAAAGGCTGTTTGCAAGCTGAGGAGCAAGGAGGGCACTCTGAGTCCCAAAGCTGAAGAACTTGGATTCTGATATTTGAGGGCAGGAAGCATCTAGCATGGGAGAAAGAGGTAGGCTGGGATGCTTAGCCAGTCTAGCCTTTTCACGTTCTTCTGTCTGCTTTTAATCTGGCTGTGCTGGCAGCTAATTAGATTGTATCCACCTAGATTGAGGGTGGGTCTGCCTTTCTCAGTCTACTGACTCAAATGTTAATCTCCTTTGGCAACACCCTCACAGACACACCCAGGAACAATACTTTGCATCCTTCAATTTAATCAAGTTGACACTCAATATTCACTGTCACGTTTACGTTTACTTAAAGAAAAAAAAAGCTTCTTGAGCTCATCTACTCTGAAACCTTATTTTAAAAATAATTCTAATGAGTTCCAGAAAAAAAACAACTTTTCTAAAGAAAATATCAGAACTGTGGTGAGAAAAATCTAGTCTCTTGATATCCAGAGTATTTGGCTTTCCACTACAAGCACACAGAATGTATATTCTATTTGAAAATAAAGTAAAATATACAGAAGATAATATTGTTTTAATTTATCAGAGATGTTAGATAACAATCTCGTAGATAGCCAAAGACTCATTGCTCAGTCTAGAAGTAAAACTTAATCACCTACCTAAATATTAGCATATTAAAAAAATCTCAATAATACTTTATGTCATTCTGAAAATTTATTTGATTTTACTGAGATGAATCATCTTTGTAGTCATAAGTATTACAAGTATTAGTAGGCAATATCATCATAAAAAGAAACTAATAAAACATTTTATTTATAGTCACTAATTTTTTAAATGTAATAGATAACCAGAACTGTAATTTACCCCTTGTTTATATATAGCCATGCATTCTTCTCAAAAGGTTTAATGTGTACATGATTTTTTCCCCCTGGAGTGTTACATTTTCTTTTAGCATACAGATAATATACAGCCCAGTGTATTGTATTAAGCACTCAGTATTTGCTTATAAATTCACTTTGGTGGCTTAAGGCTTTTGCTATTCCTGTCCTTGTGATGAATTGGAAAATCTAATATGACTTGACATATTCAGCTCAACAAAATGGGACTTCAGTAGTTTTTGAAATATCCAATTTATGTTTATATGCTAATTTTCAATCTTCCAGAATTAAAAGTATCATATTCTTCAGTTTCCTTTAAGGTATCAAGTGGTGCCTACTGTTTGGGTAAATGATAACCTATTCTTTCAAAATTCCTCATCAATTTAATACATATTTATTAAACTCTAGTTTAATATTATTAATAAAATTACATATTTATTAAACAATAGTCATATAGAGAGATATTTATGTAGATTATAGATATATATGATTTAATGTACATGCAAGCAAATATTGGGACAACCATTTGATACTTTTCCTTAGAATCAAGAGTAAGCAGAGGGAGCACATTTTAATTTTCTGCAACATTTTTTAATGTGTGTGATTGGCTTATTTAGTAAATTTAACTTATTACATTCACTTTAATTTAAATGAAGCTGTTCTTAAGTTTAGTCAATCAAAGCAAAACCTATTTGACAATGCCTTTCGGGTTAGAAAGTCAGTACTGACATTTGAAATGAGTACACATACAAAGCTGCCAAAGTATTATCTGCCTTTAAATAACACTCTTGGAAACTTCAAAGTCATAATAGGAATTAATCAGAAATGATCAAATCTTATGTTTTATAGAGGGTACATATTTACAGTGATTTAAGTTTGTATTCATATTTACATGAATTTAGTCATTTTTTTAAAAACGTGTATTTTAGGTCCGGGGTACATGTCAAGTTGTGTTACATAGGTAAACTTGTGTCTCTGGTCCTAGCCTAATACCCAACAGTTAATTTTTTTGCTCTTGTTGCTCCTCCCACTCTCCACCCTCAATTAGGCCCCAGTGTCTGTCATTTCCTTTTTTGTGTTAATGAGTTCTCATCATTTAGCTCCCACTTATAAGTCAGAACGTGTGGTATTTGATTTTCTCTTCCTGTGTTAGTTTGCAAAGGGTAATGACCTCCAGCTCTATCTATGTTACTGCAAAGTACATGATCTCCTTCTTTTTTATGGCTGCATGGTATTTCATGATGTATATGTACCATATTTTCTTTATCCAATCTGTTGTTAATGGGCATTTAGGTTGATTCAATGTTTTTGCTTTTGTGAATAGTTCTGCAATGAACATTCATGTGCATGTGTCTTCATGGTACAATGATTTATATTCTTCTGGGTATATACCCAGTAATGAGATTGCTGGGTCACATAGTAGTTCTGTTTTTAGCCATTTGAGGAATCACCACATTGCTTTCTGTGATGGTTAAACTAATTTACACTCCCCAAAACAGTGTATAAGTGTTTCCTTTTCTCTGCAGCCTCACCAGCATCTCTTACTTTTCATCTTTTTAATAATAGCCATTTTCTCCCATTCTGTAGTTTGTCTGTTTACTTTGTTGATAGAGTATTTTGCAGTGCAGTCACTTTTTAGATGTCATTTGTCAATTTTTGCTTTTGTGGAGATTGCTTTTGGCATCGTCATCATGAAATCTTTCCCTGTTCCTGTGCCCAGGATGGTATTGCCTTTGTTGTCTTTCAGAGATTTTATAGTTTTAGGTTTTATGTTTTAAGTCATAAACTATCTTGAGTTGATTTTTGTATGTGGTGCAAGGAAGTAGGCCAGTTTAAATCTTCTGTATGTGGCTAGCCAGTTAGCCCAGCACCATTTATTTAATAAGGAGTCTTTTCCCTCTGGCTTGTTTTTGTAAACTTTGTTGAACCTCAGATGGTTGTAGGTGTTTGGTCTTATTTCTGGGATCTCTATTCTCCTCCACTGGGGTATGTGTCTTTTTTTGTACCAGTACTATGCTGTTTTGGTTACTGTAGCCCTGTAGTATATAGTTTTAAGTCAGGTAACATGATGCCTTCAGCTTTGTTCTTTTTGCTTAGGATTGCTTTGTCTATTTGGGCTCTTTCTGGGTTACATATGAATTTTACAATAGTTGTCTAGTTCTGAGAAGTATGTCATTGGTAGTTTAGTAGGAATAGCACTGAATCTATAAATTACTTTGGGCATTATGGACATTTTAATGATATTGATTCTTCCTATCCATGAGCATGGAATGCTTTTCCCCTTTTCTGTTGTCTCTAATTTCTTGGAGCAGTGTTTTGTAATTCTCATTGCAGAGATCTTTCATTTCCCTGTTTGGTATGTTCCTATGTATTTTGTTCACTCTTTGGCAATTGTGAATGTCATTGCATTCCTGATTTGGCTCTCAGCTTAGCTGTTGTTGGTGTATACGAATGCTAGTGATTTTGTATATTTATATCCTGAAAGATTGCTTCAGTTATGCATCAGCTGAAGGAGCTTTTGGCCAAGACTACGGGTTTTTCTACATGTAGAATAACGTCATCCGCCAATAGGGATAGTTTGACTTCCTCTCTTCCTATTTCAATGCACTTTATTTCTCTCTCTTGCCTCATTGCTCTAGCCAGGACTTCCAACACTATGTTGACTAGGAGAGGTGTTGGGTCATTTCATACTCATAAGAACTCTATTATATAGTTATCCTCACTTTACATATAAAGAAATCAAGCCAGAGAGTTTAGAACTTGATTTGCCTACCAATCTGTCTCCACAGCCACTACACTAAATCAACATGATATCTCATATTGCCTTTGTATTCACAACTAGGAAAATGTGATCATATGGCCATCCTACAGCTAAATGAAAACATCTGCTTAATGTACAGTGATGGATGCTAAATATTTGAAAATATAACTCTGTTAATGGTATTCGATATTTTAGGGACATATTACTTTAATTCTAAGATAATGTTAATTCTGAAGCATGGTTTTGTTTAATAAAATATATTCAGGTAAAAAATAATTACACATTGATTATAAGATGGCTCTTATTTATAGAAGCATGAAATATGAGTAAAAATAAATATCTTTACATTTTCATAGATAAAAACTACAGCTGAAATACATCAATAGGAGTTTATTATTTTATCAAGTATTATTTAATATTTTTATATATTTATGCAGATATCAGTATTTCACAAAACAAATTTAGGTTAAGTTAGTTAAAATTTTATGGGTAAATTATTTAAAAAAAAAGAATATCAGAGCAGGATTATTATTTGTGAGTTAAAATCCCACTACTCTTTGTTTGATTGTATTTCTATGTTATTTCTTTAATGATTGATAATGTCAAAAATTGACATTATCAATAACATTTATTGACACTATTGATAATGTCAATTATTCTCATTATCAATCATTAAGAAAATAACATAAAATGTAAAATAAAAATTATATATAAGGCCTGTATAAAAAAATAAAGAAAAATGAACTTTGATAAGAAATTAGAAATGCAATTAAATATAGGACACCTAAAAAGAAAGACCAGAAATACTCCATTATTCTGTTTACTAAACATGTTTTAAAGAGTCCAAAAGCAATCTCAGTAATTGCTTTGGAGACTGTCAAATACATCTGTGGAAGTTTATCAGATTGTGTCTAAAATAAAGTGAAATGAATTAAAACATGTTGAGAATCAGAGAATACAGATAAAGCATAAATATCATTCTTAAGGATAATTCTTCATGCTGTATCTCTGCTAGAGTCTTTTCTAAAATTGTTATTTACAGCCTATAACATAAACTCTTTACTACTTTATGGAGAGAATTTTGGTTGTGTTAAAAGTATTTTGGAAGTTCCAACTTGAAAATGTAAAACCAAAAGCAAGTAGTAGTCATGTTTTCAAGCTTCAAAGAATGATTTGTTTATATGACTCTAGAATTACACTAAATATATATCTTGAGAGCAACATTATATTCTATTGGTTAAAAAATGCTTTTTGTAGATGTACAGGTGATATTTTCTTTTCTTTTCTTTTCTTTTTTGAAACGATGTCTCGCTCTGTCACCCAAGCTGGAGTGCAGTGGTGCGATCTCGACTCACTGCAAGCTCCGCCTCCTGGGTTCACGCCGTACTCCTGCTTCAGCCTCCCTAGTAGCTGGGACTACAGGCGCCCACCACCACGCTCGGCTAATTTTTTGTGTTTTTAGTAGAGACGGGGTTTCACCATGGTCTCGATCTCCTGGCTTCGTGATCCGCACACCTCGGCCTCCCAAAGTGCTGGGATTACAAGCGTGAACCACCGCACCCGGCCTTATTTTCTTGTATACTATTAAACACACACAAATAGAGTTCAAATTTTGTTTACATTTATCTGTTTAAAATGTAATTATTGATTTTAATGATGCAATCTATTTAAAATTCAAATAATGATTTTGAAAATTAAAATATTAAGCTTTAGCTAAAAATATTTTGTGCACATACTACTATGCTATAAAAGTTTAGAAAAACTGTGACTTAGGTATAAAAACTCAATACTAGGTTTCATGAAAAAACATACAATGATATTTATTTTTGGCCCATGCCTCTGAAATTTGTTTCACCATAGCCAGTTACATACACACACCTCATTAAAGGTAAAGAATGTATAATTACCACACGGAATTCATAATTTGTACCTTTTGAACTAAATTATTTAACTGTTTACTTTTATGGGATCATAGATAGTAAGTTCAGAAAATGAAAATGCATTTTCTAGCTAAGAGGAAAACTTTGGCATCTCTAATACTTTCTAGGGAGACAAAATGTGAACCTGTGGTTATTACCTTAGTATTTAAGAAGGAGAGCAAGTGACTAGATATCTCTCATATGTCCTGAAGTCAAACAAAACCTCTTTGGTAGGAAGATGTCTGAAGAAAATAACACAGGCTTTCTGTCTTTGCTTATGTATTGGACAGTACTAGGATACTTCAAGGGTAACTTTGAGGAATCCTTTGCATAACCTCAAAATGAAGTGGGGCAAAATATCTCAGCTCTAGGAATTCTTTTAACATTCTTAGATATGTGGGAATATGGCTTGGAGAGGAAATGAAAGGACAAAACTATCTCAACAAATGCTTCCCCAGCCTTCAACTCCACAGATCAGCCTGCAACAACAGATTATCATATACTGGATATTAAACACACACACACACACACACACACACACACACACACACACATTTATTTCTCACAATTCTGGAGGCTGGGAAGTCCAAGATCAGTGTGTTGGCAGAGCTCAGTTTGATGAGGGTCCTTTTCCTGGTTTACAGATGGGCCTCTTCTTTCTGTGTCCTTATCGTAGGGTGCAGAGAGAGTTAGCCCATGTCTACTCCTTTTTTTATAAGAATATTAATTATGAACTACTACTTTGCAAGACCTCACCTTTAAATATCATCACATTGGGAATTAGCCTTTCAACATATGAATTTTGGGGATATACAAATATTTAGTCCACAGAAAGCCTGAAGGACAGACTTTCCTTTTTTTTCTAGAACATCTGTTGACTTACTTTTCCATTTTTGACACACAGTAAAACTACCATAGCTAATTTAAGAAAAATATAGATAAACAGAAGGGTTATTTATGGATTAATAAAATTTACTTATAGTTAAAATGCTTCCTTAAAAATTTCCAAGGCAAGATAAAAATTTACTACTGCCAAAATCTATCTATCACTGCTAAAAATCTACTACATATGTAAGAAAGAAATAATATCAATTCTATACAAGTTAAGAAGATGCACTTTGCAGCTCATTTTACAGGGTCGGCATTACTCTGTTACCAAACCAGAAAAAATACATAAAAGGAAAGAAACCTAAAGGATAATATCCCTAAGGAAATATACACCAAAATCTTCAACAAAATCTTAGCTAGTCATATACAGCAATATTAAATATAGGTAGTAAATTACAAAAAGTGAGCTTTGTTTAAATATTAGAAAATCACTTAATATAATTCAGTGTGCAGATAGGCTACTAAAGAAAATCCAAAGAATCATTTCAATAGATACAGAGAAAAAGCATTTGACAAAAATGCAGCAATCATTCATAAACATAGTCTTATAATTGTATTAACTTAATAAAGGTGTCATTATGGGCTAAATTGCTTCCCTCTCCTGAATTCCATATGTTGAAATTCAAATCCTCAGTGCCCCCAAATGTAATCATATTTGGAGATCGGGTCTTTACAGAGATAATTAAGCTATAATGAGTTCATTCAAGTGGGCCATATTCCAATATGATTTATGTCCTCATGAGAAGAGAAAATTGAAACACAGACACGTACAGAAGGAAAACCTTGTGAAGACACAAAGAGGATAAAGCCACTTGGAAACCAAAGAGAGAAGCCTGGAACTGATCCTTCCCTCACAGCTGTAACCAAATGTGGTGACATCTAGAGTTCAGCTTCTTCGCCTCCAGAACTGTGAGGAAATAAATTTCTGTGATACTTTTTGGCAGCAACCTTAGCAAACCAATACAGGGATTTGCACACAACCAGCAATTATCATTAAACTTAATGGTGAAAAACTGAATAAGTTTCCTGTAATACCTGGAAAAAGCAAGAACGTTTATTCTTACCACCTGTAACATTTTACTAGAGCCCCCAGCCAGTGTAATAAAGCTGAAAAAAAGATACAAAAAGCACGCAGATAAGGAGAGATGAAATAATACTCTCTTTACAGATAAATTATGACACAACTGAGTGTACAGGCAATGTTGAAGAATATACAAAATGGCTATTGGAACAAATAAATAAATTTAATAAAACTACAGGACACAAGATTATTAAAGAAAATCAATGATATTTGCTTATACTAGCAATAAGCATTTGGAAATTGTATCATTTATGATAACATCCAACACATGTAGTATGTATGGCTAAATTTACCAAAATATAGATTGTTGAGATATTCTATGAAACATTATTGACAGCTAAAGAAGGCCTATATAAATGGAAATATATGTTAAGGAAACTAAAGATACAATAATGTTAAGATTTCAATTATCCAGAAATTTATACATGTTTAACTAAAGCCTTATTAAAAAGATTAGTAGCTAGCTTTATTAAATTCCAATGATGTCTCACTATGCTACATATTTTTAAGTTTTTAAAACAGATACATGTATAATATGAAATAATATTGGTAATTGCTACATCATCACCTCAAATACTTATCACTTATTTCTCCTATCTAACTAAAACACTGTACCCTTTGATATCTCCCAATTCTCCCCAGTCCCCAGCCTCTGATCATAATCATTCTAGTCACTGCCTTTATGAGTTCAATTGTTTAAGATTCCTCATATAAGTAAAAACAGGTACTATTTGTCTTTCTGTGCCTGGCTTATTTCACTTAGCATAATGTCCTCAGGTTCATCAATGTTGTCACAAATGATAGGATTTCCCTCTTTTTAAAGATTTAATGGTATTCCATTGGGTGTGTTGTGTGTGTGCGTGTGTGTGCACGTGTGTGTATATATATATATATATACTACATATAAAGAGTGTGTGAGTGTGTATCACATTTTGTTTATCCATTGATTTGTTTATGGACACTTGGTTTGATTCCATAACTTGGCTATTGTAACCTATCCTGCAATGAATATAGAAGTGCAGATAGCTCTTCAACGTATTTATGTTTATAAAATACATCGGATATAGACCCCGAAGTAGAGTTGCTAGATCATATAGTAATTCTATTTTTAGGTTTTTAAGGAACCTCCCTACAGTTTTCTGTGGAACAAATCAAGAGCAAGACAACAAATGACTCAATTAAAAGTAGTCAATGCACCTAAATAGATGTTTCTCAAAAGAAACTGCTCCTAAATGCAAACGGCAAACAGATATATGAAAAAATAATCAACATCACTAAATATTGGTGAAATACAAATTAAACTACAATGAGATAGTCACACAAGTCAGAACGGCTACTATCCAAAATGATGAAAGATAAAAAGTGTTGATGAGAATGTGAAGAAAACCAAATCAGACTGTTGGTGAGATTGTAAATTACTCCAATTATACTTGGCAGGGGTATTCTAAACTGATTTTGAAACTATAAAGAAAGTAGAAAAGCTTTTAATTTATTTTTTATTTACTAAAGAGAAGTACATAGAGGACTTACTTTTCCTGCTTCAAGACTCACTATAAAGTATAGTCATAAAGACAGTGTGGTATTGGAGGACAGACATACAGAAGCATGGGACGAAATAGAAAGTACAAAAATTAATAAACACATATACAGTCAATTGATTTTTGCCAAAGATCCCAAGGAAATGAATGAGAAAATGATAGTTTTCTACAAATAATATTGAAGTAATTGGAGTCCACATCAAAAACAGAAAAAGTTTTACGTCTTAAAAGTTAAATCATAAACCCAAATGTAAGTGGTCAACTTCAAAAGTTGAGGAAGAACACAGGCACAAAATGGACCAACGAATGTTGTGACATTGAATCAGGAAAGCTTAAAATAATGCTCAAAGGGCATGAGCTGTAATTTAGAATGAAGATAAATTCAATGTATAAATATTTTTTAAAAATTCATTTTCAAAAGAGGCTCAATGCATTGAAGAACCAAGCAAAACTGTGAGAGGATGTTTTCAAATATAAATGGGTAAAGAAATTGTGTACAGAACTTCTAAGTTACACTTAAAACTCAGTGAAGAAGAAAACTCAACAATAAAATAAATGTTTGAACCCTTTAACAAAGATACATGAATGATAAATAAGAACATAAATATATAAGAAAAATGGTTAAAAAGTAAAAAAATTCAAATTAAATTGGCAATCATATACCCCTACCTACCTAAAATATTAGTTAAAATTAAAAATCTGATTATACTACGTTATATAAAATTTCAGAAAAGTAAAAATTCTTTATCTTTGGGGATTTGGATTATTTACTGTTATATCAAAACATATTATACACATGCAACATTTTAATAATGTATTATTTGCTTGTCTTAATATTCTAGAATGCTCAAGGATGATTCCATCTATTAATGAAACAGGATATATGGTAGAGAAACAATTGTTTCACAAGACGGTTTATCAACATAAAATTATAATAAATCACTGGAGATAATATGTTTATGGGACATTTGAAGTCCTATCTGGGGAAACATAATGCTAGATCAGTGCCTAACTTATTGTCTCAATTAAATAGAAAGTATATTAAAGAGTTGAACAGTAATAAAAAAAGGAGATAAAGCAGGAGGAAGAGAAACAATAAATTCTAGGTGAAAATACATGTGATTGTTTGACTTTAGTCTATAAACAGATTCCTACACAAGCAATATAATAAATTCAATGAGAAGAATTTAGAGACTTGATAAAATACAAAAATATGTATGATCAGCTTCCCAAAATTTATCTTAAAAAGGAATGTAAAAATGAGAAAAAATATTTTATCATGTGTATCAAACCTAGAATATCATTTTTAAAACATGCATACAGTTGAACACAAAAAGTAGAAAAATAAAATAGACAAGCCAAACAAAGAATATCAATAGCCTTTTACACAAATAATAAATTGAAACAGTAAATGATTTAACATATTTAAAGGGGGGTGGTGCATCAAACAATTCAAGAAATACAAACAAAAATAACAATAATGAAAAAACAAAAAAATTGGACAATTTATTTTTTGATTTTGTTAAATATTAATAGCATGGAACATTGAAATAATAACTTGAATTCTGCTGGTATGTGCATAAATTGCTTTAAAATATAGTTCTGTATAGCTATTTGGCTATAGGATGACAATGCTTTAAAATATTATCTTAAACCCATTAATTCCCTTTCTAGGAATGCATCCAAGAAAAATTTCAGAGGTTTAGACAAAAATTATGAACAAAGATACATATAGCTCTTTATAATAATGAAAAAAATTTAACTGCAATCTCTTCTCAATGAGGCCAACTTAGGGGCTTATTTCAGCTTCTTTTTAAATCCTTTTTGTGTAGTTCTATATTTTCCCATGAAAATTATCACCTTCTATCATAATGTTACAATTATTTATTATTATTTATTATCATTTATCAGTTACTTCCTGCCACAGAACATAAGTTTTATGTGTGCAGCCATTCTTTTCCTAGTTGTGTTAACTGATGTATTCTAAGTGCAAAGAAGAGGCCCTGTCTATATTAAGTACTCAGTAAATAATTGGTGATTAAAATAATTAATAATATTATTATTATATATGTATTTTATTATTTATTAAATAATAAAATTACGTTTTAAAACATAATGAGTATTTAGGCATATTTAAGCATATATAAATTTTCCTGTGTGTGCAAAAATCAGACAACAATCTACTTTTATAGTGACCATAATCATACACATATATACATGTATGTATTCAAAACAAAAGAATGCAAAGGTTCAAATGGTAGACTTAAAGGTGATCTTCATTTGCCCTCATCTCTAAATATTCTATAATTATTATATAATAATCGAACACTTAGAAATATAATTAAAAATATAGTCTAAATATATATTGATATATAAAGTAGTTCATAAAGATAATGTACCTCAATATCATATATTTAAGAGAAACAAAAATATCTTAATATATGGATTTAAAATGGGGAATTGAGGAAACACGCATGATGTGAAATAACAGCTTACAGCACAAGACTGTGCCATGAAGAATTGAGACTTTTATAAAGATATGAAAAATTCATAAAGCTGCCACCTTCCCCAAGCCACTGGCATCCCTGGGCTAGTGCATTTATTACAGGGGTCCCCAACTGCTTTCTCCGTTTGCTCATTTACCTCTATAATCTTTTCTCTTCATTGCAGCAGAAGGCTTTTCATTATACATAAGATGAATTGCCTGTTTCTTCTCAAACTCTACAATGGTTTTCTGTATCATTCAAGGCAAAAGTCAAAGCACCTAACTGTCCACACTGCCCTAATGGACGTGAAACATCTACCAAATTTTGGTATCAGATTATGTCATATCAAGATTTATCTGTCTATTCTAAATAAACCTAGCAAACCCTCAACCCACAGCAACTTATTCCTCACTATCCGGGTTCAAGCAATTCTCCTATCTCAGCCTCCCGAGGAGCTGGGACTACAGGCGCCTGCCAACACGTCTGGCTAATTTTTGTATGTTTAGTAGAGACAGGGTTTCACCATGTTGGTCAGGCTGGTCTCGAACTCCTAACCTCAGGTGATCCACCCACTTCGGCCTCCCAAAGTGCTGAAATGACAGGCGTGAGCCACCATGCCTGGCCCTCTGGTATTATTTTTCTTCACTGGAATTGTCACTATCTGATAGAAACCATGACATAGGTAGAAAATACCATGTACTGTACATATATATTAAATATTTATACATGCATACAGACAGACATATGCTCAAACACATACACACACAGAATATACATTACATATACTTAATACAATTATTTAGTTCACACCCTAGTATGCCTAGTATATTATATATTTAATATTTTTATTTCACCAATTAATGCACGTCTGCACAGGCACACACTTGTGCTATTTCTCTAAGTCCTTTGTCTTGAAAATGCAGTTTTCTAGACATAAATGCAATGAGTTCTAGAAATAAGTCTATTATCTTCTGTAGTCAGTATTGGATAATTGAAATAAATGTATTTTTTAATTTTTTTTATATTATATTATATAAGAGAATGAATTTTAATTATTTGAATCAACATTGTATTTTTTTAAAATCTAGCTGAAGACCTGGCACATGCATGGAAGCTGATGAGTATTTATTTACTGAATTAGACATTAAATAAATCGGTGCATCTTTTGTGGTCACTCTTTCTACATAACAAGGATTTGATGGTTAATATCTGCATGTAATGTGAAAGACATTGTAAATCTACTTATGTATATATATATATATGTATAAATATATATATAATTGATTTGATCAATTTATTGGTCTTCCTATCTGTCTATATCTATGCCCTATATTTATGCTTAAATTGCTCA
The DNA here is from genome assembly GCF_000001405.40 of Homo sapiens. Taxonomy (NCBI): domain Eukaryota; kingdom Metazoa; phylum Chordata; class Mammalia; order Primates; family Hominidae; genus Homo; species Homo sapiens. The sequence goes on from NW_021159995.1 coordinate 274,920, forward strand.
GCAATTTTAAGTGAGGTGCCCCTGTATAAGTGATTTCTTCTCAAGTTCCTGTTATTTCTTTAAGTTCTCTCCCCAGTCCTAAACAACTACAAAACTTCCTAAGAAGATAAAGTTGAAGAAATAGTTCACAGCAACATTCTAATTTAACTCTATTCATATATCCTAGGTGGCACAACAAGAGGTTGAAAAAATCTGTGCAGATTGTTTTACATACCTCAATAGAGCCTTTTATATAATTCTGAGTGACTAATTTCTTTCAGCCTGTTTAGACAGGATTAGATTGAACTGAGAATCTCTCCTAACATAATTACGTGATTATCTTGGGATTCTTCTTTTGTTGCTCATCTTGCTACATCACATCAGTTGGAAGAGAAAATCTGTCGAATTATACATGTCGAGTTCTAGAATTTTGTGAATGTAAGCACACAGTCTTTGAGATGTAAGAACTTTATGACATAATTATGAAGATAAACATTGATCCTCACATCTGCTCTGTCAAACTAAGCGTAAGTGGTTCACAGTCTGTACCACAGCTAAATTTAAAGTGAGTGATCATTTTGATAAATATTGTGACTGACATTTATATGGTCTAGAAAATATCTGACTGACTTTTATAAACCAGATCTATGAGTTGAGAATGGGAACACTGTTAGGCCCAGCACGCATTGTGTCTCACGCTTGTAATCCCAGCACTCTGGGAGGCCGAGAAGGGTGGATCACATTAAGTCAGGAGTTTGAGACCAGCCTGGCCAACATCGTGAAACCCCGCCTCTACTTAAAAAAATGCAAAAATTAGTCAGGTGTGGTGGCACGTGCCAGTAGTCTCAGCTACTTGGGAGGCTGAGGCATGAGAATCACTTGAACGTGGGAGACGGAGGTTGCAGTGAGCCGAGATGGAGCCATTGCACTCCAGCCTGGGTGACAGACCAAGACTCTGCCTAATAAAATAAAGTAAAATATAAAGAATGGCAACATTGTTGACCAGTGAAACTTAAAGAAACAGTCCCAGAAAAAGTTATTTTTAATTTAATTTACCAAGTCCTTGGAATGTATGTTTTTCTTAGGGAGCTAAGGAAAGAAATTTGATAATTTTACAAGAATTATCTAGAGATTATTTCTTATTTATTGAAGTTTTCAAAACTAGTTCAGAATACTCTTACATCAGGAATTATCTTTTAACTAGATAAGTA